>NC_000003.12:125978301-126129816 GCF_000001405.40 Homo sapiens
AGATTTTTTTCACACCACATTTGGAGACGTTTTGGGGGAAAATGTACCTTTAAAATTTTATCTGCAGTTAATTCTGATCTTGTCTACCCCACCCACAAAGGGTCAAATAAGAAAATAAATAAATTCAATCCAATCCTGAAATTTTAGTCTGATGCAGTAACTGAAACAGCCTAAAGGTACATTTCCCAGTATCTCAGGTTTTTCCTCACCACGCTCTCTTCTCCAAGATGGCAGTTGAATGTAGATGGAAAGAGGACCACAGAGCAGTCGTTTCTCACATCCCTCAGTCTTCTCTGGCATCTCTGGTCTCCATGGTAATGCCTATCTGTCTGGTCGCTAGCTGCTTGCAGCTTAAGTTTTTGGTCTCGTCTCTCCCAGATTGGTGAAAGTCTGAGGATGCCTCCCGAGCTGGCTCATTTCAGTTCTCAATGGTGTCAAGGGCCTCTTTGAGTCCGCCAGGGTGTGCTATCTGCTCCCTGGCTCTGGTGGTCTACTTCACAGCCCCTCACCAGTGTGTGATGTGTCTGAGCCCTTCCCTTATCCCCATACCTCAGAGTAACAAAGAGTGACTTTGGAAAGTCAAATTCCAACCCTCCCTCTGCTTAGCCCACCGTGTAGATGCTAAGTTTCTTCTGATGTACCTGCCTCCCAAACTAGAGAGGGGAAATCATGAGGTGAATTGGATCTTTCTACTTCCCTTCTAAAACAAGGAGGTGGGATTCAATGTTCCATGAGATTCATCTACCTCTGACATCCTGTGATTCTATCCCCACTTCTCTGCTTCCTCTGAGACACCCTCAGGCCTACCTCTGAATAACAGTGAGCTCCTCCAATTCTAAGAGGCCTTGACATATCTGACTTTGCTCCTCATCATCCCCATGTCAAAGAACCCCTAGAGGTAAAGTCAGCCTGGAGGTTAAGTCTGTAAATAAGGGGTGCCCTATGAATCCAGTAATCAATACCCTTATATTCATTTCTATCATGCTGGACTGTTTCTGGGATCTTAAATGTGGGGTTGGTCAGTGGTACAGTGTGAATGTTTGTGTCCTCCCAAAATTCATATATTGAAATCTCAACTTCCAAGATGATGGCCTTAAAAGTAGGGCCTCTGGGAGTTGATTAGGTCATGAGGGTGGAGCCCTCATGAATGGGATTAGTGCCCTTATAAAAGTTGCCCCTCCACCAAGTGAGGACACATAGAAGGCATCATTCATGAGGAACAGGCCCTCACCAGAGAGCAAATCTGCTGGCACCTTGGTCTTGGACTTCCCAGACTCCAAAACTGTGAGCAATAAATTTCTGTTGTTATAAATTACCCAGTCTAAGGTATTTTATTATAGCTGAGACTAAGTCAGGGGTCACCATCTGGTGGAGACCTTGCATCCTAGTTAATTCATATATCCTTAGAGGCAAGCCCAGAGTTTCTCTTTCCTTTGCGAATTCAACGGCAAGACAGGATCTCTGTGTCATCTAGAAAAGCCAGTTTGTTCCTTGTAGAAGAGTCTAGTAACAGGAATTTTTACTCCGGTAGGTAATAGGTACATTTACTCCATCTTGAGCTCTCTGCGTCGAATACACATTATTCAGAATGCGATGGCACACAGACCTGTATTCCTCCCCCCTTCAGCACTCCTTCCTCTGGACTGGCCTATGCCACCTCCTGTTCCACTGAACTGATTATTAAAAAAGGAAGAGATCACGTATGTAGAAAATAATCATGTTCACTGGAAAGAATGACTTTTTTTTAGCAAATTATTCACATTTCAAGGCTTTCACCTCTGACTTTGAAAATGAAGCTCGCAAGATGTTTAAAGACTACCTCTGTGAAGTGGATCCCCAAAAAAATATTGTGCAAGAGAATGAAGATCTGTTTCCTTTAGATTTATGTCAGTTTACCAAATAGCTCTAGTACAGTTATTTATCCACTCATCCATTTATTAAATCTTTAAAAATATTTAAAAATCTTACGAGGCAATAGAATTTGAAGGGTTATTGTTTGAATAATCAATAAAAGATGATGTTTAGAGTTGAAAGCCCCTATGTTAGTTTGTTAGGGCTGCCATGACTTGGTGGCTTGAACAACAGAAATTTGTTGTCTCTCAGTTCTGGAGGACAGAAGTTCTGGGAACAAGCTGTCAGCAGGACTGCTTTCTTCTGAGACGTTTCTCCTTGGCTTAAAAATGGCCAGCTTCTCGAACTGTGTCCCTCTGTGCCTACATGTCTGGTGGCTCTCTCTATGTCCTAACTCCTCTTCTTAAAAAGACACCCTACTGACTTCATTTTAACTTATCTTTTTAAAGGTCGTATGTTCAAATACAATTGCATTCTCCAGTTCTGGGGTTAAGGCTTTGACATATGAATTTTAGGGGGAACAATTCAGCCCATACCACCACCCCATGGAGAGGGCAACAGAACAAAGCATTAGGGGTGCAGAGGGTTGTTTTTGTTTGCTTGTTTGTTTGTTTTTTACAGAAACGGGTGAGCTGTGGGTGGAAATTATAAAGTTCAGAGTGTGCTTGCAAATCTACCCCAAAGCATTCTCCCACTCACAAGCATGACTTACCATCCTCCCAGATAGCCGCATATATACTTGTTAGCCCCATGCCTGCCCTCCCACCTGCTCTGAATTAAGTGGAAGTGCCTAGAAGATGCAGTGTTTCACAATGATTTCCATGATAGGACCCCCAGGGACAGAGGAGAGGAAAGGAAGGTGGCCTGCCTCAAACTCATTTTTTTTTGACATCGTGTGGTTTATTGAAGATTCTGTTTCATAAAATAACAATGCTTACTAAATGTAAAGAAACAAATTTTAAATATTAACTCAATTAAAATTAATAATTATTATAAATTATGTTTAAATTACTTGCCATCAAGTAAAACTATCACTCAAGGAAGAGTTTATTCACATCCTCAGTACCTCCTGACATAGACTTATGCTCCTGGGTAACACATACCACAGTTAGAGAAGCCTCATCTAGGCAATCATTCTGTTCTGGGAGAGGATGAGAGGAGAACAGCAGACATCAACTGCTAAGGCAGGACAAGTCTCCTCTACTAATCATGTGGGAAGATACAGCAGCTGCTTTTTCACTCACCCTAAGTCACCACTCAGGACTGATCTTTCACTGATCCCTGGAAGAGTGTGTCAGGATGATCCGTACATCACCAGTTTCAGTAAACCACCAAGATCTGTATGCTGAGCTTCATTTCACAACTCTTTTGCTTGTAACATTTATTCAAAGGGTGGGTTATTTAAAGACATGAGATGAGTTCTGAGCATGCTCCTTTAATGTTCAAGTTTCATTGTAAGGAGGGTTTGCTTCTGTAGTAACCCTTCTGTTAAAATTCCTGGCACTCATTCTCAACCAATATTTCCCCAGCAATAAAAGGGTTAGTATTACGTAAAATGAAATAAAGCACTAGGTGATTCTATTTAGATGGACCCAGATGCTTTGGAGGAAGGTTTATCTTGATGTTCAAGACCTTTTTTCCAGTATCTTCCTGGGACTCTATTTTCCTGGGGAAATTATCCTTCTCTTACCTTCTTCTCCTCTACTGTGTCTTGCTGGAGTATATAGGCTAGACCATTTATCTCAGCCCTTTAGAGATAAGATTGGAGGGTAATAAGAAATAATTCTAATTATATAGAATGCAAATCAACTTCCCTCCTTTAGTGAGGGTATTCAGACTAAAGTAACAAATATCTTAAAGTATTTAGGAATTTATAAATTTAATTCCTTGAGTAGTCTTCTAACAAAGAAAGAAAAATAAAGATACCCAATACTCAATATTTTTTAGAATGAATTAGTGACATTTGAATGTAAAAATTTCAAGCTTTCTAGAATCTTAAATTGTTCCCACTTCATTTTATAAGAGCAATATTTTTGTTTTCTTTCTTGTATCTAAATGGATCTCAGGAATATTGCCTGGAAGAGTAACTTTCTCCTCATTTTATGTAACTTTTATAGACTATTACCAAAACTCTCAAGATAGTGTGTGAGGTCTTATCATGTGACCACAATGGTGGGTTGCCCCGAATCCCATTCAGCACCTTCCAGTTTCTCTACACGTATATTGCCGAAGTGGATGGGGAGATCTGTGCATCACATGTCAGCAGGATGCTAAACTACATTGAACAGGAAGTGTAAGTTAACTTTTACCAATTGGAGGTGAAAGAATACCAGGAAAACAAATCTATGGGGCCAAGACAGAGTGAGATTATTGTATTATACTGCTCTGGGAACAGAAAAGTGAGGACATGAAATATCGATCTGAAAGAAAAGGAGAAAGGGAAGGAGAAGAGGAAGGAAAAGAATGATATAGGACAATAATTCTTTGAGTGCTACTGAGGCTAGCAGTAGCGGCAGCGGCACCTGAGAACATGTTAGAAATGCAGAATCTCAGGCTACACCCTAGACCCATGGAATCATAAACTGTTAGGGGTGGAGCCCAGGAATCTGCGTATTTATAAGCCCCTCCAGTAACTCTGACTCATGCTTAGCTATGACCAGTGGAACAGAAGTGGAGGAGGAGGATGAGAGGAGGAGCAGCAAGTCAAGAGTTAAGAGGAAAAGAGGGCTGGTCATGGCGGCTCACACCTGTAATCCTAGGGTGGGTGAATGGCTTGAGCTCAGGAGTTCAAGACCAGCCTGGGCAATATGGTGAAACCCCATCTTTACTAAAAATACAAAAATTAGCTGGGCGTGGTGGTGTGTGTCTGTATCAGTTAATTGGGAGAATGGCTTGAGCCCAGGAGGCAGAGGTTGCAGTGAGCCGAGATTGCATCACTTACTCCAGCCTGGACGACAGAGCCAGACCCTGTCTCAGAAAAACAAAGTTAAGAGAAAAAGGAGCAACAGCAGAATTAATGTGAAATGAGAGTTGTTTGCATATTGTCTTTCTTAAGATTAACTGTCAATGAACTAACTGCAGATATACCTTTATCCAAACAGAATTGGTCCTGATGGTTTAATCACGGTGAATGACTTTACCCAAAACCCCAGGGTTTGGCTGGAGTAACAGCACAATTTTGGCAATTTTAAAGGAAGATACAGAGGTGATTGTACTTCAGAATGATAAACCCATATACCACCTAAAATCAATTTTCTTGTACAACTGGTACACACTAATAAACAAACATGTGAGATCAGAAATGTGCGGAATTAAGATGTGAAATTGTTGGAACAAAACACCTTCATTACCAGGAGATTAGTATTCTTCCCACATGGACCCTGAGTAAAAGTGGGTGACAAAGCATGGATAGAAAATGCATTTCCCATTAAAGCCAGACTGTCAGATTTTAAAAAGCAGTATGTTAACCAGACACAGTGTTGTTCTGTGATTGTTAGGCATAATTTAGATGAGTGTCTTTTATATGGTCAATTGAAGTTTTTACCAGTTTATTTCTCCATTTGTTGGTACTGTGTTAGTCATTCATTCATCCTCTCACTCATCAATATTTATTGAGGTTAGCTATGTGCCAGGAATAGGGTTGCCAGAAAAAATACAGGACACCCAGTTAAATTTGAATTTCAGACAAACAGCAAATGTTTTGTTTTGTTTTTTGCTAAACATGGCAACATTCCAGGAACTATGCTGGCTTCTGAGCAGATACAAATAATATCTGAATTCTGCCTTCAAGGAGCTCACAGTCTAACATAAGAAAAGCCATGAACATACATTACTTTCATGCAAATGGCCTTGAGAAGAACTAACAGTATTCCAGAAAGTGTCAATGTCAATGGATTTTTCTGAAACCATATACAGATGTCATGGAACCCACTAGAGAAAATCCCCTACATGAGCCTAAGACCTTCTGACAAGGTCTTAAACATTTTCCTTTCTCGAAGGAAACAGATGAGATTAATAGACTGTGATTCTGGTTCTTAATGTCAGGTGTGCCAAGGTCGCTGGGTCAGTCCCTTGTATTTGTAATACTATCCCCTCTTAAAAGTTGCTTTTGGTCAAAAATCATGTTATGTTACATGCATATGTCTCTCTACATCAATTGAGGAGAAATCTGTCTATTAGTGTCTAAAGGTAAGAGGAGATTGTGATTGGATGTTACCATGGTCCTTGATTTCTGACTCGAGTGAAACAATAAAAGAGACTGAAACAAATTCTTCCCCCATAGCACTGGGCTGCACCTGCAGGGGATGGGCAACAACTAATGCTACCTGCTGTCTGCCTTCCTAGCCAAAGTGGCCCCGCATTTCTTTATTTTTTAAATTATACTTTAAGTTCTAGGGTACATGTGTACAACGTGCAGGTTTGTTACATATGTATACATGTGAGTGGCCCCTCATTTCTATCTGCTCTGGAACCTAAGGCTGTTTGAGAAGTCTGAAGCACTACAGGTGAAACCTGACACTGTAATTAATCAGGATTAGAGAACGAGTGAAATCCTTTAACCTGCCTCAGATTCTTGGTGTCTCAGTTTCTCTTTCACTGTGGCCAAAGAACTGAAATATGGTCTTGTCTGCAAATAGGGAATAAAGGGGGACAGAAGAGACAGCTCCAATTTGAAAGACCTTAAAATAACAAATTAGGTTCATAAATGTAACAAAAGCAAGAGTCCCTTGTACATTTGGGAAAACAGGTTGAAATCAGAAACTTAGTCTTGGTAGCCTTGAACATAATCCCTCAAGAGTGAGGCTAATGAAATTCCAACGACCCAAGTGTATACTAGACACAGACATGAAGTTATTGGTGCTGTAGCTATCCGTGCTTACTGAGACTAAGCACAATTGGCAATACCATTGTTCACTGCCAATTGCTCATCTTTTGAGCCACCACTTGGTGTGCACCACCTTCCTCCTCTCCTGCCCTGGCTCACTGGGGCAATGCTTGCTCTAAGCTATTGATATTGCTATGCCACAGCTGCTCACTAGGGACACAGTATCTACAGCACATCTGCCAAATCAACCTGCTTCTGCAGTCACCCCAAGGATGGAAAACAGCTTTGTGCTTTGCCCTCTACCTGGGCTATGCTGTATTAACAATATTATAAATACTGTATTAATGATAATACCCAACATTTATTAAGCACTTACCATGTGTAAGCCACTGTGTACACGGCTTTATACATTCTCAAATTTTTCCTTACAATATGACCTTATGAGGTCAGTGTCATTATCTCTAACAAACAATCTTAGATAAATTAAGTTGTTCAATGTCACTGGTGAGAAAGAATTTGAATCCAGATCTGACTCCAAACCTATGATGCCTTGTATATATCCTCAGTGCCTGTCTAGGTATGGGATTCCTCCCACCCCCAGCCTGAAATAATCCCTGAGACAGAGATTTACATGCAAATAGTTTCTTTAGGAGGCGATCCCAGGAACAGGGAATAGGGATAGGAAAAGTAAGATATTATAGTGATGGGAAGAAAGCTAATAAATGGTGTGTTATCCAGCCAGTTACCCCTGTACTCCAATACTGCTGGGGAACTCTGGGAGACAGCATAGAACACATCTCAGAGTTATCCCAATCGAAGGGTGAGGAAGCTCTTCATCCATCACTGGATAATCCCCACCTGTCGTTGACTGAGGGCTTCTTCCAGGTGAATTAATGTTCTGCCTTTCCAGCTTGCCTCAGCTTGCTTCTTTTGCTCCAGGAAAAAGGCTCTCGGCCAGGAAGTCATAGATGATCACAATAAGAAGCCACCTGCATCTGCTACACTGCCTTACAGATATTTTAATACAACAAAGTTTTAACATTTTTTAATCACTATTAATGTTTCTTTCTTTGGGTCACGCAGAAGTCTTCAGGGTCTGCAGGGCAATAAGTGACCATCATTGTGCTGTATTAAAATTCACAACTGACTCACAAACATGACACATTGTCCCCAACCATTTCTTCCTTGTGATGGGATCATTCCAAAGGGGGTCCCTTGATTCTTGCTGCCAACAGATCCTTGTCAGACCCATCCCACTGGCTTTCCTATCATAATCAGCAATATCTATACAGTCCTAGCATGACCCCAGTTAAACTGTCAAACGAAGGCCCTTGCAACGTATGGTTTGTATTTCTCCTTTAAAAAAAATTTCAGGAAGCAATAAAATCAGGATTTTATAAAGCAAAAACAGTGGGCTCTTTCTTTCCTAAATTAAGCTATTTTGATTAAAGTGAAGACTGCAGATATATAAGCTTCAGTGGGAAATGCAAAGATTATGGCCCAATTCCATTTTCTCTATGCTCCATGCCCTTCCTCTCCTTGATGCTATTCCATCAGGGACCTACCATCCCTAGTTAACCAACTACTTCCAGGATCACCAGGGCCCTGCAACAGAAGGAGCTGGACACCCCAATGTGGAAGGCTGGTTTTGAATTAGGTTAGAATAGGAATCTTAACCTGAAATCCTTGGAGAGGCTCCTGAGTGCCTCTGATAACATTATATATGTAACCATGTCTCCAAAATGTGCTCATTAGCATTTTTCTGAAGAAAAAATTATAAGGCTTTGAGCAATTTCTCAAAGTTGTATATTATCTCAAAAGGCCAAGAACCTTTGGGTTCAAAATAGCCCCAGAGAGCACTAAATGGCTTGAGGAAAGACAACAGCACAGTCTCTCAGATCTTTCCAAGCAGAACTGAGCTCACGCTCCCAACATGTGACTTCTTATCCACAGCCTCTTACTTTTTGAATCTTAGATCCTGGCCATAAATCGGTGTTTTTAGTTTAGATCTTCATATACTTTCAACTTTGGTCATTTCCTATAAACTGGAACATGGTCAAACCTGAACAGAGACTTTCACACTTCAGAGGTGAGCCAATTGGCAAAGTAATTGGTTCAATGTGCTGAATTATGAAAGACTGGATAGACAAGCAGAGTTGTGTATCCATGATACTAGAAGGACTAAACCTCCGGACCAAGCTCAAAGGGCTAGTCCTGGATAATCCCGAGCCTCGGACATTCAAGTAGCTGTCAGCCCCAATGCACCAAAGCAGTCCAAACAATAGTTGATTCATTGGTTTATTCAACAAATAATTCAGAAATTCCTACAAGTGCAAGGATTGTGCTAGGCACTGGGGATACTGCTCTGAACAAGGTGAAGTCCCTGCTTTTAGAGAGATTAAATTATACTTAGGAAGACAGACATTACATAACTAAACACAAGTTTATAATTGTGAGAAACGATGCTACTACGTAGAAGCATGGGGCACACAGCTAGTTTGCAGGGGCAGGATAGAGAAGCTTTCTTGAGGAAGTAATTTGAGAGCAAGTTCGGAAGCCACAGGCAACTCAGAAAGGTGTATTTGCAGCCCACACATCTTTGCCACGCTCCAGACTCAACTATACAGTAGCTAACTTGACATCTTTTCTTGGATGACGCCAAAGTACTCCCTAATTTAACAAATCCAAAAATGACTTTCCTGGTTTGCATTTTTTTCATAATAAAATGTTGGAGAGAAATGAGTTCATAAGCTTCCTTACTAAATGTGGACCTCTCCCACCATCTGCCAAGATACAAAACCCAGAAACCAGGGTCAACAAATACCTCCCCCTGCCTTACTTTCCAACTCTATCACCAAGTCCTCTCCATTTTATCTCCTATGCATCTCTCAAATATGTCCTCTTCACTTTCCCTCACCACCACCTCCCTTAGGTCCCCTCATCCCCTCCCAGCAACCAATATATTTCATCTGGACTTTCTATCAATCTGGTCCTCAAAGGGAACAGAAGACAATCTAGAGTTTTGAAGATAATTAAAAGTTTTACAGAATGGACAAGGAAAACAACAAGGGGGTTGAGGCACCCAGGGACTAGCAAACCGTTATCATCCCTAAGACTGAAGAGACAAAGAGAAGGACATGTTATTACAGTGTGAGAAGACTGGAGCTCCAGGGGCTCCCCTGATGATGCAGAGGGCCAGTGCATCAGCCAAATGGTGCTGAGATAGCAGGAATATCCCATTCTCTCCCTCTTCTATCGACTAAACAGAACCTGAAGCTGGAGGGCATGTCTGACTGATGTCGGTCCAAGGGGAGGACAGAGAATGGATGCAGGAGGAGAGAACTTGCTCACACCCATACTTGCCTTTCCCTCAAGCATCCTCTATGCTAGTGATCAGCAAACTTCTGTAAAGGCACAGATAGTAAATATCTTAGGCTTGGCCGGCTAGGTGGTCTCTATCACAAATACTCAACTTTGGCAGTTGTAGCACAGATAATGTGTAAACACATTAGTGTGACTGTGTTCCAATAAAACTTTATAACACTGAGATGATTTTCAGGTAACTTTTCACATCACAAAATATTATTCCTTTCACTTAAAAAAAACTACTTGAAAATGTGAAAATTGTTCTCAGGCTGTATCCAAGAATGGCAGACTGAATTTAGCCAGGGACTGTAGATTTCAGATTCCTGCTCTACACTACAGCCATGGATCTTTGTAAAACCCCAGTCAGTTCACTGTGCCCCCTGCTTGAACTTTTACATATTCCCAATGGCCTTAGGATAATAAGCCAAATCATGTAGCCTATGAGGACTGTATAGTCTGGCCCTACATACATTTCCATCCCCACTGTCTATACTTCAGCAGCAAGAGCCTCTCTGGGTTTCTCTTTCTCAGCATCATGCTGTCTCCACATCTTTAGAATACTCTGCTCTCCACTCTCTAGTTCATTTGCAGATCTCAGCTCACTGCAACATTATTTATAATAGCAAATAACAAAATGAAAAGTGGGGTGGGGGCATAACATTCCCAACACTAGGGAAATGAATCATGGAACACCAGGCAGCCATTTTATAACTGTAGATTAATGAGAAACAATGTTGATTAGATATTAAGAGAAAACACTCATGTTACAGTAATACCTATTATTTCATATTGTTGTAATACATTTATACATATATACGTAGGTGGAAAAAATCTTGAAGGGAATGCACCAAGCTGTTCAGAGTGATAACTCACGGGCAATGGGGTTATGGGTGGTCTTTTCCTTTTTTGCTTATCTATATTTTCTAAAATAAACATGTATTAAGAAAAGTCAACATGAATTTTTAAAAACCAACAACTAAAAAAAAACCCCTTAATTTCAGGTGAATATGTTAGAAAGTTATGAAGTTATGTGAGGGCTGGGGAAGGAAAGGAGAGGTTTTCACAGTTTGATCTAATTCAAAACTAAATCTGTGAAATACTCAAGTTTCCTAAAATCACTCAGGATAAGTGTGTGATATATTGGTGGACATATTTTAGTTCCTGGGCTTTGACATTAATTGTAACAGATTTTTAAAGGGTAGCTCTTTTCTCCATTAAAAAGAAACGAGGCTGGGCATCGTGGCTCACGCCTGTAATCCCAGCACTTTGGGAGGCCAAAGTGGGCAGATCACCTGAGGTCAGGAGTTCGAGACCAGACTGGCCAACATGGTGAAACCCCGTCTCTACTAAAAATACAAAAATTAGCCGCCTGTGGTGGAGCGCATCTGTAATCCCAGCTCCTCAGGAGGCTGAGGCAGGAGAATCCCGCTGGAAACCGGGAGGCGAAGGTTGCATTGAGCTGCGATGGCACCACAGCACTCCAGCCTGGGCGACAGTTGAAATGGAATCAACTGAGTTCTCCCTCTTCAACTTGATTTAAATCATCAACCCAAAACCCAATTCCTAAACCCCAAAACCAATGACTAAAATCCTCATTAAAATGAGTGCACATGCCAATACTAAGAATGTTGTGTCATTCTTCATCAAAAGTAATTACCTCAACACAAGAGGAGACAAGTACGCATGGAAGTAAACCCAAAATCCCAACTAACGAGCATCGTTCTGAGATCAGTGGCCACAGGGAATAATTCTGAAATTGGCATCACATCTACGCAAGATAACAACCTGGAGGTCTTATTTTTATAGAATATCAAGAACAAAATCATCCAAAAGGCACACGATGCCAAACTAAAAATAAAGAGCGAAAATCCAAAAAGTTGCGCGCAATTCCTTCTGAAACCTATCCGCCTCCTACTCCTGTCCCTTCCTCTGGCGCTGGCGGGTCCTCGTCCCGAACCCCCACCGCAAGCCCTGGAACGGCTTCTTAACCCTTTTCTCGGCGGCTCCGCCCCGGCCCCGCCCCAGCCATGCCTCGCCCCCGCCCCGTTTGCCGGCTATTGGCTTCTCCCATCCCCTACCAGAGGGTGACGAGACGGGAAGCCGGGAAGCCGGGAGGGATCTACTGTGCACGTCCAAGGCGCTGGGCCTAGAGCAGGAGAAAGGGTTTGGAGGTGCGTCGGAGACTATGAAGTGCGGCCTTCGGCGTGATCCTTTCCGGAAGCGGAAGCTCGGGGGGCGGGCCAAGAAGGTCCGGGAGCCCACGGCGGTTGTTTTTTCTGTGAGGCTTCACTTACCTCGGTCTGGGCTTCTCTGAGGCTGCGAGAGATGGTCATGTCCGGATCTCAACTGGGCCGGGTGAGGGCTGAGGACCTGAGGAGTCCACTGTGGGGATGGAGAGGGACAGGGGGGTTTTCGGGCCAGAAACTTGTAAAACTCTGCTCGAAAAAAGAGACCGTGCGGCGACATTTAAGTGCTGGGACAGAGGTGCAGGAAACACCTAATCTTACCTTCGTAACACAGCCGCTTGGTCTCTAGATGTGTTTCTGTTTAAATCGTCGTAGCCCTCTAGAGCGCCGGCTTTCGGGTCAGGCCGGGGTTCAAGTCCCAGCCTTCGCCGCTGGGTCCAGTGACTTAAGCTCTCTTAGCTTCAGGTATTTGCACATTGGGATTCCACTACTTTTTACTTCTCGGAACTTACTATTCCTAAGCTGCAAAATAGGCAGAAACAAGCATAAAATTCTGTCTCAAAGAATTGGGAAGGTTAAATGAGAGAACCCGGTAAAAACATCCATCACACAATTGGCGTAGACATGCAACAGAATTTAGTTCCTTTGAAAACACGTAGTTTGCCACCGTCTTAATGATAACAGCAGCTAACATTTAGATAGGACTTATGTGGCAGATACTACTCTTAAGTGCTTTTATGTATTACATAGAATAACCCATTTCATAGTCGCAATATCCTTATGAGGTAGGTACCATTATCCGTCTTTTACACATGAGGAAATTGAGGGCTGGAGGGTTCAAATAACTTCCTAACGGTTACACAGCTGTGGAATCAAGATTCAGACTCACAAAGCTGATGCCAGAGTCCATTCTTCTTTTAGACATTTTACCTAGTAGATGTATGACTTTGAACAAACCACTTTCCTGAAATTTAGGTTCCTACCTCACAGAAATAATAACAGGGTATGGATTAAGTGGAAATGAAAGACCTTAGTACACTCTAAGTCATTCTACAAGGGCAGTATTATCTTGTACTTCTTGGTAGGAGATATGACTACCAAGAAATGCTTATATGATTCTCAAATAGCAAAATTAAAAGTTTAATGATAATAACCCCATAGAAGTAAGTGTAAAATAAAGCAAACTGATTCTCCTGTATTGTGATCAGGACACTCCTTTTGGAGGGCAGCTTTGCAGTTTGTATCAAGAGTTATTAAATTGCCAATAACCTTTCACCAAATAATTTTCCTTTTAATCCTAAATATGAGAAGGCTATTTTCAAGAGGTAGAAAGGTTTATTCCAGGTTTTTTTAATTATGAAAAATATGAAACAAACCAAGACCATATTATATTATTTCCACTGAAAGAAATATTATACAACCATTAAACATTTTTGAGTATTAATATGAAAAAGATTTAAAAGTAGAAAACACAAGATTCAAAATTGCAAATATCTAGTTAATATGACTAAGTAAAAAATGCATATGAAAAAAGATTGGAAGCCCCAATAGCAAAGAACACATCTATTACCTAGATCTTGGTTTCCAAGTACCACTGTCCACTCAGGAGTCATGGTGTCTTGGAGAAATGACCAACTCCAGGGCTGAGCAGGGGTAATATAACAAGAGCATGGATACATCAAACTAAAAAGCTTCTGCACAGCACAGGAAATGATTAATGGAGTGAAAAGGCAATCTACAGAATGGGAGAAATCCAAGCCATGTATCTGATAAATAATTAATATCCAAAATACATATAAGGAATTTCTGTAATTCAAAAGCAGAACAACACATGATCTGGTTAAAAAATGAAAAAAGGATTTGAATAGACATTTTTCCAAAGAAGACGTACAGAGGACCAACAGGTATATAAAAAGATGCTCAACATCACTAATCATCAAGGAAATGCAAATTAAAACCACAATGAGCTATCACCTAACACCTGTTAGGATGACTTATTGCAAAAACAAAAACAAGTATTGGCAAGGATTTGGAAGAATTGGAACCCTTGTACACTGTCAGTGGGAATGTAAAATGGTATAGCCACTATGGAAAACAATATGGAGATTCCTCACCAAATTAAAAATAGAACTATATCACCCAGCAATTCTACTTCTGGGCATTTATCCAAAAGAATTGACATCAGGATATAGAAGAGATATTTGCACTCTTGTGTTCATTGCAGCACTATTCACAATAGCCAAGATGTAGGAACAACGTAAATGTCTATCTACAGATGAATAGATAAAATATGGTATATACATACAATGGACTATTATTCAACCTTTAAAAAGAAGGAAATAGCTGTCATATGCAATAATAGAGATGAACCTTGAAGAGATTATGCTAAGTGAAATAAGCTAGTCACCGAAGGACAAATACTGCATGATTTTACTTATATAAAGTATCTAAAATAGTTAAAACTCATAGAAACAGAATAGAATGGTGGTTCCTAGGGGCTGTTAGAAGAGAGAGATGGCGTTGCTATTCAGCGAGTATAAAGTTACATTTATGTGAGATGAAGAAATTCTTGAGATCTGCTGAACAATATCATGTCTATAGTTAATACTACATTTTGTTGAGAAGGTAGATCTCATTTTAAATACCCTTGTGGCAATTATTAAAAAAAAAAAAAAGATGAACTGGGAGCACCTTGTTGTAGAAAGTAAGGAACGGCTCAAAAAGTAATGGGGGCATGTTAAAATGATACAGGAGTCAACTTCAAGGGGCTCCCAGTGACCAAATTTGAGACAATTTGAGCATCAAAATAAAGTGATAATAAGGGATCATAACCCACTGAAGAAAATAGGAATCAGTGAGTCCCCACTAACAAGGAAGAAAGAAAAAGTGCTTCCCTAAAGTTGAATGCCAACTAATAAATGTAGAAGGAATTACATAGGTAGAAAATCACCATTTGTCAAACAATTGATTCAGCCAAGAATCATCAATGGATGCTAAAACTATGGGGTGAAAGTTTGATGATTGGGATATCTATATAGTCTCAAAGTGTCTCTTCACAAAATGCTTAACAACTACAAAGATAAAAGTAGAAACTACAATAAAAAACCTGGCAGACACCATCTTAGGTAATAAAGTTTACATCATCAATAATGGGACAAACTGACATGTGTCTATTTATTGTATTGAGAAGAACATACCTCTTTTGTGGATTCCTGCCAAAAATGCATGACCTGTGTCTAATCATAGGTAAACATCAGACAAATCTAAATGTCCAGAGGGACACTGTACAAAATAACTGGCTTATTCTCTTTAAATATGTCAAGGTTATAACAGACAATGAATGACAGCCTGAGGAACTGTTATAGATTAAAGGAGACTAAAGAGCTATGACAATTTAATGCAACATGTGATCCTGGATTTGGCGTGAACCAGAGGGATTTTTTTTTTTTTTTTTTGGTAAAGGACAGTATTGGGATAATTGGCAACATGCGAATAAGGTCTAAACATTAGATCATAATTCTGTATCAATGTTAATTTCCTGGTTTTGATAATTATACTGTGGTTATATTAGAGAATGGCCTTGTTTTTAGGAACTATTTAGGCGTAAAGGAGTAGTATATCTGCAACTTAACTCTAATGGTTCAGGCAAAAAGTAATGCTGTGTATATATATTGAGAGAGAACATGGAAAATGGAAAATGTCAAGGGTCACGGAATCTGAGTGAAGCATATATAGGACTTCTTTGTTCTATTATTTCATAGTAGAAACTACAAAAAAAAGGGAAAGGAATTGTTCCAATATGATAGCTACTGTCTCAAGGTGCTTTTATCATGGGTAATTTTCTTTACCAGATTTTCTATAATATAGCCTTGTGTATATTTTTTTGAGAAACGCCATATATAATCTTATAGTTATGCCAGACATGTACCTTAGACAGTGTACTTTAAAAAAATTTTTTTTCAGCTGGGTGCGGTGGCTCATGCCTGTAATCCCAGCAACTTTGGAAGGTTGAGGCAGGCGGATCACTTGAGGTCGGGAGTTCAAAACCAGCCTGGCCAACATGGAGAAATCCTGACTCTACTAAAAAATACAAAATTAGCCAGGCATGGTGGCGCATGCCTGTAATCCCAGCTGCTCGGGAGGCTGAGGTAGGAGAATTGCTTGAACCCAGGAGGTGGAGGTTGCGGTGAGCTGAGATTGCGCCATTGCACTCTAGCCTGGGCAAAATAAAGAGCGAAACTCTGTCTCAAAAAAAAAAATTTTTTTTTTTGAAAGAATAATTGTGGTAGTTGTTTTTGGACTCGATCCAGGGTGTAGTATTATAGTGTCATGGCTTGGATTTTTTATTATAATTCCAGCGAGGACATTGACATAGATATACCAAAGGGAAAGACCCTGAGAGTGTGACACAGAGACCAGTGGAGTGATGTTACACAAGGTCTTATTTCCTACATTGTTGGTTCTCACTGCTGGCTTCATGACCCTCCATCATAATCCAAGTTATCTCAAGAAGTATAACTCTTATCAACCCAATTTTTAAAAAATGTATTCTCAGTGACATTCTTAGAAGGATGGAGCACATATTCAAGCATATAATAGAATATATAACTTCAGAAAGTTTGGTAGTTACTGCTCAAAGCTATCTTGAGATGAAATATGTAAATATGTCAAGAGAAATTATAAATGAAACTGCCAACAGTGACTACATCTGGAGGGTGGAACTAGGGGGAATCAGGGACTTTAACTCATGTTTATTTAAAATTATTTTGAATAGAGATTATATTTATCTGATATAAAGTTATTAAGATATAAAATAGTATACCATGGAAAGTGTCCCTTCTTGCTCTGTCCCCCAGATACTCAGTTTCTCTCCCCAGAGGCAACCGTGATTAACTGTTTCTGGCATAACTCCCAAGATATTGGATGCAGGTAAAAACAAATGCCTATTTTTTCCTGTTTTTCTACACAAAAGGTAATGCATCATGTCACTTTTAAAACAAAAAAAAAATTAAGAAAACAACAGTGCTATGTAAGTCTAAAGAGAAAGATTAAGACAATGAGATGTAGATAAAGAGAAAGGTAGAGTTTTTATTTGCTGGTCTAATCAGGCATTCTAAAGAATGTACATAAAAGGAACCAGAGTTAAGAACTCTGTTCTGTATCTTGAATTAACTTGTATATTTCAAAGAATTTGGGACTATAGAACATGTTTAGGGGATTAATATAGTCTGAACTTAGTGTAGTAGTTACTTCTGGTATAAAATATCTCAATTTCTTTTTCACCTTAAGTAGACTTAAGGTGACACCTTAAGTAGACACATATTAAGCAAATATGTATTGTTTGCTTGACATTTTACATAAAATAAATTTAATATATGAATTAAATTCTAATTGTGGATTTTTAGGATGTGTCATATTAATTAAAACAGTGAATAATATGGTACATACATACAATGGAATATTATTTGGCCTCAGAAAGAAACATTTTGACACATGCTACAATATAGATGAAGCTTGAAGACATTATGCTAAGTGAAATAAGCCAGTCACAAAAGGACAAATATTGTATTATTCCATTTATATAGTTTCTAGAGTAGTCAAATTCGTAGAAACTAGGATGGTAGTTGTTAGGGTCAGGGAGAAGAGGGGATGGAAAGGTACTGTTTGATTGGTACAGAGTTTCAGTTTGAGAAGATGAATAAAAGAAAAAAATGACATCGGATTGCTGGCAAGATGGCTGAATAGGAACAGCTCCAGTCTGCAGCTCCCAGCAAGATCAATGCAGAAGGTGGATGATGTCTGCATTTCCAACTGAGGTACCTGGTTCATCTCAATGGGACTGGTTGGACAGTGGGTGCAGCCCACGGAGGGCGAGCCAAAGCAGGGTGGGGTGTTGCTTCACCCTGGAAGTGCCAGGGGTCGGGGAATTTTTTCCCCTACCCAAGGGAAGCTGTAAGGGACTGAACCTGGGGAACTGTGCACTCTGGCCCAGATACTGCACTTTTCCTAATGGTCTTCGCAACCTGCAGACCAAGAGATTCCCTCCAGTGCCTACCCCACCAGGGCCCTGGGTTTCAAGCACAAAACTGGGTGGCCGTTTAGGCAGACACCGAAATAGCTGCACAAGGTTTTTTGTTTGTTTGTTTGTTTTTTCCCATACCCCAGTGGTGCCTGGAATGCCAGTGAGACAGTGAGACAAAACCATTCACTCCCCTGGAAAGGGTGCTGAAGCCAGGGAGCCAAGTGGTCTGGCTCAGTGGTCCCACCCCTGTGGAGCCCAGCAAACTAAAATCCACTGGCTTGAAATTCTCGCTGCCTGCACAGCAGCAGTCAGAGATCAACCTGGGACACTTGAACTTGGTGCAGGGAGGGGCATCCGCCATTGCTGAGGCTTGAGTAGGCGGTTTTACCCTCACAGTGTAAACAAAGCCACTGGGAAGTTCAAACTGGGCAGAGCCCACTGCAGCTGAGCAAGGCTGCTGTGGCCAGACTGCCAGATTTGCCCTCTCTGGGCAGGGCATCTCTGAAAAAAAGGCAGCAGCCCCAGTCAGGGACTTTTAGACAAAACTCCCATCTCCCTGGGCCAGAGCACCTGGGGAAAGGAGTGCCTGTAGGCGCAATTTCAGCAGACTTAAATGTTTCTGCCAGATGGCTCTGAAGAGAGCAGTGGATCTCCCAACACAGCATTCGAGCTCTGCTAAGGGTCATACTGCCTCAAGTGGGTGCCTGACCCCCGCATATCCTGACTAGGAGACACCTCCCAGTAGGGGCTGACAGACACCTCATACAGGAAAGCTCTGGCTGGCATCTGGCAGGTGCCTCCCTGGACGAAGCTGCCAGAGGAAAGAACAGGCAGCAATCTTTGCTGTTCTGCAGCCTCTGCTGGTGATACCCAGGCAAATGGTCTGGAGTGGACCTCCAGCAAACTCCAGCAGACCTGTAGCAAAGGGGCCTGACTGTTAGAAGGAAAACTAACAAACAGGAAGAGCATGTCCACTCAGAGATCCCATCCAAAGGTCACCAACATCAAAGATCAAAGGTAGATAAATCCACAAAGATGGGGAGAAATCAGTGCAAAAAGGCTGAAAATACCAAAAACCAGAATGCCTCTTCTCCTCCAAAGGATCACAACTTCTCACCAGCAAGGGAACAAAACTGGATGGAGAATGAGTTTGACAAACTGACAGAAGTAGGCTTCAGAAGGTGGGTAATAACAAATTCCTCTGAGCTAAAGGACCATGTTCTAACCCAATGCAAGGAAGCTAAGAACCTTGAAAAAAGGTTAGACGAATTGCTAACTAGAATAACCAGTTTAGAGAAGAACATAAGCGACCTGATGGAGCTGAAAAACACAGCACAAGAACTTCCTGAAGCATACACAAGTGTCAATAGCCGAATCAATCAAGTGGAAGAAAGGATATCAGAGATTGAAGATCAACTTAATGAAATAAAGTGAGAAGACAAGATTAGAGAAAAAAGAATAAAGAGGCACAAACAAAGCCTCCAAGAAATATGGGACTATGTGAAAAGACCAAATCTATGTTTGATTGATCTACCTGAAAGTGACAGGGAGAATGGAACCAAGCTGGAAAACACTCTTCAGGATATTATCCAGGAGAACTTCCCCAACCTAGCAAGACAGGCCAACATTCAATTTCAGGAAATAGAGAGAACACCACAAAGATACTCCTTGAGAAGAGCAACCCAAGACACATAATTGTCAGATTCACCAAGGTTGAAATGAAGGAAAAAATATTAAGGGCAGCCAGAGAGAAAGGTCAGGTTACCCACAAAGGGAAGCCCATCAGACCAACAGTGGATCTCTCTGCAGGAACCCTACAAGCCAGAAGAGAGTGGGGGCCAATGTTCAACATTCTTAAAGAATTTTCAACCTAGAATTTCATATCCAGCCAAACTAAGCTTCATAAATGTAGAAGAAATAAAATTCTTTACAGACAAGCAAATGCTGAGAGATTTTGTCACCACCAGGCCTGCCCTACAAGAGCTCCTGAAGGGAGCACTAAACATGGTAAGGAACAACAGGTACCAGTCACTGTAAAAACATACCAAATTGTAAAGACCATCGACACTATGAAGAAACTGCATTAACTAATAATGGACAAAATAACCAGCTAGCATCATAATGACAGGATCAAATTCGCACATAACAATATTAACCTTAAATGTAAATGGACTAAATGCCCCAGTTAAAAGACACAGACTGGCAAATTGGATAAACAGTCAAGACCCATCGGTGTGTTGCATTCAGGAGACCCATCTCACATGCAAAGACACACATAGGCTCAAAATAAAGGGAGGGAGGAATCTTTACCAAGAAAATGGAAAGAAAAAAAAAAGGGGGTTGCAATCATAGTCTCTGATAAAACAGACTTTAAACCAGCAAAGATCAAAAAAGACAAAGAAGGGCATTGCATAATGATAAGGGGATCAATGCAACAAGAAGAGCTAACTATCCTAAATATATATGCACCCAGTACAGGAGCACAAGATTCATAAAGCAAATTCTTAGAGACCTACAAAGAGACTTAGACTCCCACACAATAATAGTGGGAGACTTTAACACCCCACTGTCAATATTAGATCAATGAGATGGAAAATTAACAAGGATATTCAGGACTTGAACTCAGCTCTGGAACAAGCATACCTAATAGACATCTACAGAACTCTCCATCCCAAGTCAGCAGAATATACATTCTTCTCAGCACCACATCACATTAATTCTAAAATTGACCACATAATTGGAAGTAAAACACTCCTCAGCAAATGCAAAAGAATGGAAATCATAACAGTCTCTCAGACCACAGTGCAATCAAATTAGAACTCAGGATTAAGAAACTCACTCAAAATCACACAACTGCATGGAAACTGAACAACCTGCTCCTGAATGACTGCTAGGAAATAATGAAATTAAGGCAGAAATAAATAAGTTCTTTGAAACCACTGAGAACAAAGTCACAACATACCAGAATCTCTGAGACACAGCTAAGGCAGTGTTTAAAGGGAAATTTATAGCACTAAATGCCCACAAGAGAAAGCAGGAAAGATCTAAAATCGACACTCTAACATCACAATGAAAAGAGCTAGAGGAACAAGAGCAAACAAATTCAAAAGCTAGCAGAAGACAAGAAATAACTAAGATCAGAGCAGAATTGAAGGAGATAGAGACACAAAAAAACCTTTAAAAAATGAATCCAAGAGCTGTTTTTTTTGAAAAGATCAACAAAATAGACTGGTAGCCAATTAATAAAGAAGAAAAGAGGGAAGAATCAAACAGACACAATAAAAAATGATAAAGGGGATATCACCACTGATCCCACAGAAATACAAACTAGCATCAGAGAATATTATAAACACCTCTATGCAAATAAACTAGAAAGTCTAGAGGAAATGGATAAACTCCTGGACACATACACCCTCCCAAGACTAAACCAGGAAGAAGTTGAATCCCTGAATAGACCAATAACACGTTTTTATTTTATTATTTAATAGCCTACCAACCAAAAAAAAGCCCAGGATCAGACAGATTCACAGCTGATTTCTACCACAGGCACAAAGAGGAGCTGGCACCATTTCTTCTGAAACTATTTCAAACAATAGAAAATGAGGGACTCCTCCCTAACTCATTTTATAAGGCCAGCATCATCCTGATACCAAAACCTGGCAGAGACACAACAAAAAAAAATTTCAGGCCAATATCCCTGATGAGTATCAATGTGAAAATCCTCAATAAAATACTGGCAAACTGAATCCAGCAGCACATCAAAAAACTTATCCACTACTATCAAGTTGGCTTCATCTTTGGGATGCAAGCATGGTTCAACATATGCAAATCAATAAATGTAATCCATCACATAAAAGAACCAATGACAAAAACCACATGATTATCTCAATAGATGCAGAAAAGGCCTTCGATAAAATTCAACACCCCTTCATGCTAAAAACTCAATAAACTAGGTATTGATGGGGAATGTATCTCAAAATAATGAAAGCTATTTATGACAAACCCACAGCCAATATCATACTGAATGGGCAAAAGCTGGAAGCATTCCCTTTGAAAACTGGCACAAGACAAGGATGCCCTCTCTCACCACTCCTATTCAACATAGTATTGGAAGTTCTGGCCAGGGCAATCAAGGAAGAGAAAGAAATAAAGTGTATTCAAATAGAAAGAGAGGACGTCAAGTTTTCTGTTTGCAGATGACATGATTATATATTTAGAAAACCCCATTGTCTCAGCCCAAAATCTCCTTAAGCTGATAAGCAACTTCAGCAAAGTCTCAGGATACAAAATCAATGTGCAAAAATCAAAAGCATTCCTATACACCAATGACAGACAAACAGAGAGCCAAATCATGAGTGAACTCCCATTCACAACTGCTACAAAGAGAATAAAATACCTAGGAATACAACTTACAAGGGCTGTGAAGGACTTCTTCAAGGAGAACTACAAACCACTGCTCAAAGAAATAAGAGAGGACACAAATGGAAGAACATTCCATGCTCATGGATAGACAGAATCAATATTGTGAAAATGGCCATACTGCCCAAAGTAATTTATAGATTCAACGCTCTCCTCATCAAGCAACCATTGACTTTCTTCACAGAATTAGAAAAAACGTCTTTAAATTTCATATGGAACCAAAAAACAGCCCGTATAGCCAAGACAATCCTAAGCAAAAAGAACAAAGCTGGAGGCATCATGCTACCTGACTTCAAACTATACCACAAGGCTACAGTAACCAAAACAGCATGGTACTGGTACTAAAACAGATACATAGACCAATGGAACAGAACAGAGGCCTCAGAAATAATGCCACACATCTACAACCATCTGATCTTTGACAACCCTGACAAAAGCAATGGGGAAAGGATACCCTATTTAATAAATGGTGTCAGGAAAACTGGCCAGCCATATGCAGAAAACTGAAACTGGACCCTTTCCTTACACCTTATACAAAAATTAACTCAAGATGGATTAAAGACTTAAACCTAAGACCTAAAACCATAAAAACCCTAGAAGAAAACCTAGGCAATACCATTCAGGACACATGCATGGGCGAAGACTTCATGTCTAAAACACCAAAAGCAATGGCAACAAAAGCCAGAATAGACAAATGGGATCTAATTAAACTAAAGAGCTTCTGCACAGCAAAAGAAACTGGCATCAAAGTGAACAGGCAGCCTACAGAATGGGAGAAAGTTTTTGCAATCTGTCCATCTGACAAAGGGCTAATATCCAGAATGTACAAAGAACTTAGGAGGACAGAAAACCAAACACCGCACGTTCTCACTCATAGGTGGGAATTGAACAATGAGAACACTTGGACACAGGGCGGGGAACATCACACACGGGGACCTGTCATGGGGTAGGGGGCAGGGGGAGGGATAGCATTAGGAGAAATACCTAATGTAAATGACGAGTTAATGGGTGCAGCAAACAAACATGGCACATGTATACCTAAGTAACAAACCTGCACGTTGTGCACATGTACCCTAGAACTTAAAGTATAATAATAAAAAAAAATTAAACTCATTCAGCACCTTACAACTTTCATGCTTTGCACACTCACTGTGTCATTCAACAAATCCTGTCAAACTTACTAGGTGCTATTGAACCTCCGCTCATGTACACTTACTGTGTAATCCAGCAGTCACTTTTTGCATATTTGTTCTCTCATCTAACTTTAACTTCTGTGACACCAAATTTTGTGTACTTGACAATCACTCTTTGTACACTCATTCTCCACCATCTAGATGACATTCCTTTCACATTTACTTGAACTTGGCCTTGATTTTTATATGACATTGGTGTTGATCTTCCCTTTGATGCTGACTTTAAATTTTACCTTGACCTTGACTTGATCTCAACTCAAACAAAATCCTGTTTCCCACCTTATGTCTAGGCCATGTCTAGCACAAATTTGGAACTTGATCTTTAACTTGACACTAATCTTGACCTTGAGCTTTGCTGTAGTTCTAACACTCATCCTATTTTTGAACAATAACCAGATCATATACAGCACTAATTGCAAAGTTGAATATAATCTTGACTTGACTTTGGCACTGATTTTGATCTTTTATTGACCGGTTAAGACTTTCTTCCTATCCTTTTATTATTACCATCTACCAGATGTAGCCTTATGTGCACACTTGAAGTTGACCGGTACCTTAAATTTCTCCTTGATTTTGATGAAAACCTTTGGACCACTTCACATGCACAGCAAGTGTAGCTCTGATTTGAACTTGAACTTGATTTAGACCTTGGCCTTTGAACTTAACCTTCATATCGCTCCTGACTGAAATTCAAGCTTGAAATTTCCTAGAACTTACCTTAACCTTTAACTTGACCTAGACCTTGAAACTGTGCTTGAATTTTACTTCCATTTTCACCTGGACACTAATTCAGATCTACTTCTCATTTAACATCCCTGTCACTTTAAGGCCCATATTCTCATGACTTTGAACTTGAACTCTGGCTGCAGCTCAGAAGATACAAAAGGGATGAGTAATGTAAAAATCTGGATCAATATTCTAATTCTGGGTAATTATCCTGCAAATCGTGCCAGATCATCATCTGGATAAACAGGGTGCCCATAACCCAGAGGTCTCCTTTTTGGGGAAAGAGACAAAAGGAGCTAACTAGAGTCATACCCCATGCACCCAAATCTTAGCCACCTATATATACTACAACTGTAGCCACCAGTTATCTGGGTGTGTTGGCAGCCTCGGGATTTTTTAGCTGTCCCTATCCCCTTGTTTCATTTTGATCCATGTCTTCTAATAACCTGGTTTGTCTCTTCTCACCTTCAGGCCATCAAAGTCCAAATGGTCATTCAAAGGGAGTCTCGGACAACGGCTCCATTTAACTGGGGACCCTAGATAGGCCTCTGAGAGAATCTCTTGACTGCAACTTTTCCCAAAACAATGCCCTTTGTCAACATGAAGCAGTTAAGAACAGTCATTGTTCCTATCCTAATGGCAGATGTACCTCTTCAGAGGGGGGATTGATGGCAGAGGCGGCCCATCTGGAGCAGCAGATGTGAACATGCCAGCTGCAGTGGGGGAGACACAGCTGGGTTTGCATACTCCACGGGGCCGGCAGGAGCCAGGAACAGGCGAGGGCCCCGTGCCCTACTTAATTGGTGGGGCAAGAGCCCTGCGCTCCTGGGCACAGCTGCAGCCACCCAGCCGTGGCTCTGGACCCAGGCATCCCTGTGCTCTCAGGGCCCCAGAAGCCCCCCTGCCCCTGCAGGCTCAGAAGTGCCTGCTCCCACTCCCTGGCCTCTCCCTACTCCTGGCACCCACTATAATTTCAGAGCAAAGTGGAAGCCAAGCCCAGATGATACTGTCATAACCCAGCCGAATTTGTGTGCACTCAGGGTGGCATTGACATGCCAGCCCCACCACTGCCTCACCCCTCTCTGGGCTTTGGGTGCCAACTTTGGGTCCCCTCCTTTGGGAGGGAGGCTGGGAGGTGGTTAGGGGCAGCTTGGCACAGGCCTGCAGGTGCCCTTTGACACAAACAGCCTGGGCACCATACCATGGACAGCAGGTCGGTAGCAGGAGGCAGACAGGTTCCTGGGCAGAAAGGGGTGGGGTCTTGTTGAAACCCCCACTTCGATCCAGGAATGGCCTGAAGCCTGGGGACCGGGCTGCCAGTTCAGGGTGGAGTTGGCAGCCCGGAGTGAGAACTTATGGTGCTTTTTCCAGGCCCACCCATGGCCATTCATGGACCAATCAGCATGCACTTCCTCCCTTCTGTGCCCATTAAAAACCCTGGACTCAGGCAGACTCACACTTGTTGGGACGACCTGCCTGTGGAAAACAGCTACCCACTCCGGGTCTCCTGAGAGCTGTTTTGTCACTTGGTGAAGCTCCCCTCTGTCTTGCTCACCCTCCAGTTGTCTGCATACCTCATTCCTCCTGGAGGCAGGACAAAAACTCGGGACACGCTGAATGGCAAGACTCAAACAGCTGTAATACAGGGCTGAAACATGCCCCCCACTTGCCATGTGGCAGGCGATGAGAAGGAGAGAAGAGCTGTAGCCCTTCTGGGAGCCCAGACCTTAGAGCTCCCCAGGCCAGAGCTGTGACACCCTCTTTGGGGCTCTGCGGTACCTGGTGTCTCCAAGCTTCTGGGCACCACCATGTTCCCCTTGTCCAGATGTGGGTAACTGCAGTGGAAGCTGCTTGTGGTACATCTGATCCAGTTGCAGCCTTGCATGGAGCCGGCGCCTGTGCCAGTGCCTGGAGCTGCCTGCCCTGCCACAGCAGCTGGGGTGCCTGGCTGTGTGCAGTGGTTGGACCTCATGCTCACTCGCTCACATACCCCTCATTACTCCATGCCTGGCTCACCCTTGGCAGGTGTGGGATCCCAGGCTGGTAGCGTGAGCTGAGCGCAGCCTGCCAGGCCGAGTGGACAGAACAAGCCCAGTGGGCCTGAGCAAAACTCAGGCAAAGGCACCACTGGCCACAGAGGTTTCTGGCTGGAAAAGCAACACCTCTAGGATCTTGTAACACGGTGTTGGTCAAACCTCTTTGGCACACACATCGCTTGGGTCTGAGCCCAAATGTCTGTTCAAATCAGTCCACCACTCACTAGCCATAGGGCTTTGGTAACGTTAAGAAGCCTCACAATGCTTCAGTCATCTACAAATGGGAGTGGTATGTACTGCATCACTTAATGTGAGGTTATCAGAGTTTACACGTCAAATGTTTAGGATACAACCAGACACACAGAAGATGCTTGATAGATCTTAGCTCTCATTACATGCTTCAGTAGCATCACATGCTTGTCTTTTGCAAGACTTATCAGAGCTGGACTTTCAATACTTGTGTGATGTTGACTATCTCTCCTAGTAGGGACTTGAACCAGGGATGATGAGTGATTTGCCCACAAGTGTGTCCCCAGTATCTAGCATGGAGCTTGGCATATAGTTGTGCTGAATATTCTCCAGTTGCCTCTCCAGATCTATCCCCAGCCTCCCCTGGCTCTGTGCCCCAGGAGGCTGAAACCTCTGTGGATCGTCAAGCGGCTCCCCAGTCATTGAACTTCTGGTTGGGTTTGGCCAATGGGAGACACTGGCAGGAGATAATAGGGTGGACAGAGAATGAGATTGGGATATTTATTTCCCTGGCTTTCTCTGCCAGGCCACAAGCTGATGTAGCTGTGTCTCTTTCTTAGAGATCCCCATGCATCTCAGGAAACCACAATCCCAACTATTCTCCAGGACAGGTGAATGTCTGGTAGTGCCTGGCCCCAGGATGCTTCACCCCTTCTTCTGGTCCCCATGCACCTATAAACTGTGCCTTCCTTAAAGTCTGCTCAATTATTCCAGTTAATGTACCATGTCTTTCCTTCTAGAACATTAAAACAAGAGGTTCTATATCAACATTTGTTGAATACATGAATAGATGTCTGTTTTACCACATGAAGATAATAATCTTCAAGTCCAAGCATGGCTACAGTTGTCCTGATGAGTTAATAAGAGACAGGAAATGATCATACATTTTTTAAAGATGATGTTCTCGAGTAGTAGTTCTCAAACGTGGGTGTGTATGAGAAACCTGGAGGGCTTGTGGAACCCATATAGCTGGCTCTACTCCCAAGAAATGCTGATTTGGCTAGTCAGGCCAGGGGGTGAGGGATAATAATTTGCACTTCTAACAAGTTTCCTGGTGACACTGACGTTTCTAGGCTGAAGGCCACTTTGAGAAACACTGCACTAGAGAAATGCCAGATGCTTTTGTTATTTATAGACCCCAAGCCTCAGGGTTGCATTAACTATCTTTAAAGACATAAAGGGTCAAGTACAATATAATCTGTTTTATTTTACACTTCTCTGATTATTGAAATCTAAATAGAGGTTTTTGCTAACAAACAAAAAGGAAAATAAAAAGACAGCAAGGACACGATTAAATGTTGAGTGCAGATGAAGGGTTGTATGAGGCCCCATCCTGGGGAGGCTGTACACCTTCTTGGCACAGCAGCAGTGTGGCCCACGGAGCTTGAACCTGGTGAAGACAGCAAGTAAGCCACAGCTCAAGAGTTCTGAGGCTTGGGAACAGAAAAGAGCTCCTTCCTGCTCCACCCCAATCTGGGTTGCATGGGCATGGAAAAGAGCAAACACACCCTGCAAAGCATACTGGACATGCCTCTTCTTTACCTTCTCAGGCCAGAACACCCTCCTCTCCACAAACGTGTGCACACTTGCACGCTCATTAAGCATGTGCACACATCATATTCACACACTCAAGCCATGCTCTTGATTTCAGGGCTCTATTGCAGGCTCAGGTATCAACCCCAGAGCCGAGGTGTGTGAGAGCTACCTTAGCAGACTCACAAAAGGCTACTGCAGAGGCAGGGGTCAACCATCCCAAGGACCTGGCAAGGGAGAAACTGAATTCTGTATCCCACTGATGTGAGAGGAAATTCTAATGAGCAAATGGGACCAGCGGGGCCCAGTTAGGGAGGTCCAGATGCCAGTTCTGAGATGCCACCCAGCTCTGCCTTGCTCTTCAGTAGCCAGTCAGTGAAAAAGCAGAGTGCCAGGAGGCCAGTACCGAGCAGGTCCCCCAGCCCTGTAAGGTAGGGGATGCAGTGGTTGTCAGGATCCAGGGCCTGGTGCCAAGTCAGCCGAACCATCACTTCTGCGAGGTACAGCAGGATTGTCACCTGTCAGAAGGGCAAAGAGACACAAAAGAAGACCAAGTCAGAAAGTCAAGTACAGGCAGGAAGCACTAGCTGAGGCTCAAGGAGAGATACCAAGGTGGACAGGTCAACCCCAGCCAGCCTCCTTCATCCAGCTTCTCTTGGGGTCTGAAGCCCAGCTCCGAGCTCAAGCAGTGGCTAGAGAGGTGACCCTCATCTGTACTTACCTAGCCTCCCTCTAGTGGGCCCAGCTTCTGGCACCCTGAAGGGCCAATCAGACCCACTGCCACTCACCAGCTGGGGCTCTCTCTGCTGCGATAGGCTCTACTCATGGGACTTTGCCGAGATGTCCATTTGGGTTTGCCTGAGCCCTTCTCCCCTGGAGGTTAGGACAGTCAGCCCTTCCTGAAGGTGCCATGGGGTAGTCCACACAAGCCTGCTCAGGTCTCATGGCTCCTCAATCCCTTGTCCAGGCTAACCCCAGCTCCTTCCTTCTCCCCAACTGGAGTCATAAGCTGCTGCTGCTCAGGACAACTTCTGGGATTTCCCTAATCCTACCCTTTAGGGTCAGGAACATACCACAATTACAAATGCCATAAACTCTGGGAGATGAGAAAGTGCCAGTACCAGCACCACACCCATAGAATTGCCCTCCAGCGCCCACGGTGCTCCCTGCAAAGGCCCCAGACCCACTGGGGACCATCAGCCCGCTGCAGTCTAGGCAGTGTGCTGAATACCTGCCCAACACAGGCACCAGCTTAATCTCCTTCACCATGCTTACTGCTGTCCAGCCCTGATCAATGTCTACGCATGCCTTGCAGCAGCAGACCCTGCAGGGGTCTGGCCCTGCCCACCCACCGTTGGGGAGGCAGTGGATAGCTGGACCACTCCTCAGCCTGTTCCGTGGGAACATGCTTCATCCTCAGGGCTGCTCCTCTTATCCTGTGATGATGAATGTGCTGCGCGCAGTGTGTGGCATGTTGTGTGCCGTGTCTAGCATGCAGTACATAATGTGACGAGTGATGTGCAAGATGACATGTGTAGTATGCAGTGCAGTACGTAGCGTAAGCTGTATAGCATGTAGCATGCAGCACACACTCTGTAGCATGCATGTGGCATGCACTGTGACATGCAGTGTGTAGTGTGTGTGGTGTGCACTGTGTGGTGTGGAGTGTGTGGTGTGAAGTGTGTGGTGTGGAGTGTGTGGGTTGCACTGTGTTGTGGAGTGTGTGGTGTGAAGTGTGTGGTGTGGAGTGTGTGGGGTACAGTGTGTGGTGTGGAGTTTGTGGTGTGGTGTGGAGTGTGTGGGATGCGCTGTGTGGTGTGGAGTGTGTGGCATGTAGCATGTGGTGTGCAGTGTGGAATGGCCTCTGTATTTGACAAGTTGACTCAACTCCTGGAAGATAAGGACTGTGCCCCACACGTCCAGCCACCCCCACCCGCCTCCCTCAGCCTCTCACTCAGACAAGAGATCAAGCCTGCTGGCTGACTACACAGCTGCGCACCTCTAATTGCTGCAGCCAGGCTTACCTGGATCAGGCCTGCCAGCAGGTAGAGCACCACAAAGGTCTGGCTGTTTATGACTGACTGACCCTCCACCAGGTAGATGATGTAGAAGAAAATCAGATGGCCTGGGACCACCAGCAAGAGCAGGACTCGAGCTGACATGGAATTGATTTCTGAAAGAAACAGAACCAAGAAGGTCATGTGACCTGAAGCGAGGCCACTTTGGCATGTGACAGTCCTCAGTGAGGCATCCACACTCACTCATCCATTTATTCCCAAGTGTTCACTGGACACCTACTCTGTGGCAAGCATATTCTGGCAGATGGGGATACAGTCTTTCCCCTTCCCTCGTGGAGCTGATATTTTAGAGAAGAGAAACAAGAATCAAGTAAGCAGAAATAAAAAGAAGCAAGAAAGGCTATTTCAAACTGTGACAAGTACTTTAAAGAAAATAAAGGTAAAAAGAAGGGCAAAAAGCAGGAAGTGTTTATCAGTGGGGATGAGCTCCTGCAGATGACATTTCAGCTGGGATTTGAATTTGGGGGAGAGGAGTTTGAGCAGAGAAAAGAGAACATACAAGGGGCTTAAGGAGGAAAAGAGCTTTGGGTATGGTGCTTCACTCAGTGCAGCGCTGGTGATCTGGGGAGGGCAGTCGGCTCAAAAGGGGACCTCGGGCAGCCCCTTCTTCATAGCAGCCTCTGTGGCCCTGTCAGCATACCTGCAATGTGCCAGTGAGCCCTGGGTTTCCTTTAGATTCCCATGCTCTGAGTTTGAGACTTTACAATAAGTGTGATTGACCCTGGCCCTACCACAAATACTTTTTAAAATTCTAACATGAATATGATTGATTTCTCAAAATGGAAATAGACTTCTAATGAAAAGTAGGTCTCCATTTGCCTCTGAGTTAATATATGTATTTCACCAAAATAATAAAAGGAGAAAAAAGGTCACATGTAGCTCAAAGCTAGTGCAGAAGAGCAACGACATCTATTCATGATGAGAAATCAGACATGGAATAAAAGTATTATTTTAAAAAATGTCAAAAAGAAGCAGCAAAATGATTGGAAGAAGCTACTATTGGAAGTTGGTGTGAGAACTCAAGAAAATCTATAGGAAAACCATGTAAACAATAAGAATTCAATAAAATGTTTAGGTGCACAACACAGAAAATAACAGCTTTTCTATATACAAATAACAAGTTAGAAAATATAACACGGAGTCTGACTTCTGAACAAATGGGGAAGACACACTTCGTCCTATTTCTCCCATTAAGTACAACTGAAAGCCCTAAACATTGTATATAAAACAAACGTAAGCAGATTCTGAAAGGCTGGCTGGGGACCTTGGGCTGCAATGAACAACATGGTCGTGAGTCCCCTGAATTGTCCTTTTTCTCTTTCTTTCTTTGCCTCACATAACCAAGACTGAGTCCTGGCCTCAGCCATCAAGAAATGCAGATACAAATAGACAAAAAACACTCCATAGGCTAGGCGCTGTGGCTCACGCCTGTAAACCCAACACTTTGGGAGGCCAAGGCAGGCAATCAGTTGAGGTCGGGAGTTCGAGACCAGCCTGGCCAACATGGTGAAACCCTGTCTCTACTAAAAATACAAAATTAGTTGGGTATGGTGGCGCACACCTGTAATCTCAGCTACTTGGGAGGCTGAGGCAGGAGAATCGCTTGAACCAGGGAGGTGGAGGTTGCAGTGAGCCAAGATTGCGCCACTGCACTCCAGCCTGGGCAACAGAGTGAGACCCTGTCTCAAAAAAAGAGACTCCATAGAAGTCTGATCTTTTTCACCAAAGGCCAGGAAAGGGGAAGCCCGGCAAAACAGACAACTTTCAGACAATAACTCTATTCCAACAAACTCTATTCCAACAAACACCACAGGAAAAACTGCAGCCCCGACCTCATCAGGAAAGGCCTGGTGGGACCACCATCATCTCCTGTGGCTGGCAGGGTGAGATTCAGAACTTTCATCTCTACCCAGTGCTAATGGGGCCCCCACCTTGTCAGTGAAGCCATGTGGGGAGCAACAACAAGGCATCTTTCCCTGTCCCAGCCAAGGTGGTCTCAGAGGAGGCCTAGTGAGGAACCTAGATTGCACTGTGCCCAGCAATAACAAGGTGCTCCTCTTCTCCCAGGATAGCAATAGAGGCTGAATGGTGAACCCAGTCTTCCATCCCCACCTGGGCAGCAGTCCATCCCTTCTCCCCAGTGGTGCAGTGTCAAAGGAAGCCAGCTAAGTAGAGATTCAAACATGATCCAAAGTCTTGTCCATAATACCCAAAATGTCTGGATTCAAATGAAAATCACTCATCTTACCAAGAGCAAGAAAAATCTCAACCTGGATGAGAAAAGACAACCAACAGACAGCAGAGTGAGACGACACAGACGTCAGCATCACCTGAAAGCCGTTCTAATGAAGCCACTACAACAATCCTTCATCATGCAATCACAAACCCACCTGAAACAAACAAAAAAATAGAAAGTATAAGCAAAGAAATAGAAAGTCTCAGAAAAGAAAAAGAAGATAGAAAGAAAGAAGAACCAAATGGAAATGTTAAAACTAAACACATACAATACCCCCAAAAGTCCCAGACAACTCAGTGAATAGGCTCAATAGCAGAATGGAGAGGGCAGGGGAAAAAAGATCAGTCAACTTGGAGAAAAAAGTGATAGAAATGAGCCAATCTAAACAAGGAGAGTAATAGACTTTGCAAAAACCAAACAGAGTCTCAGGGACTTGTGGGGCTGTAACAGAGGATCTAACATTCATGTCATTAGAATATCAAAAAGAAGGAGAGTGCAGCTGAAAAAGTGATGGCTTAAATTTTCCGATTTGACAAAAGATATAAATCCATGTGTTCAAGGAGCCTAACAAACCCCAAATAGGATAAACCCCAAAAAGTCCATACCAATACATATCATAATCCAACTCCTAGAAACTAAAGACAAGGTCTTGAAATATGCAAGAGAGAAATGGCACCATACCTATACAGCAAAATAAATTGAAATGGCAGATTTCTCATCATAAGTCATGGAATCAGAAGGAAGTGGCACATTTTTCAAGTGTTTGAAAACAACTATTGACACCGAATTTTACAACCAGTGAAAATATCCTTCAGAAATGTGCCAACAGCCAACCCAAAAGAAGGCTAAAGGTAGTTCTTAGAAAGGAAATCCAAAACAATGTAACAGGAAAGAAGATCTGATTTTTCAAAGCCAACAAAAAGACACAACATCTCCAAAAGCTTCCAGTGGTTCTGAGTAGAATCCAGGTTCCTTCCTCAACTCCAAGGCTCTGTCGGATCACCTCCTTCCGGCCTCTCTGGCCTCAGCCTCCTTCATCCCCTCCTGTCCATTCAGCTCAGGCCACATTGGCCTTTCAGTTCTTCAGACTTGCCACACTCCTTCCTGCCTCTGGGCCTTTGCTAGACTGCACCCACTGCCCTGAAAGCCCCTTCTTCTCTTGCCCTCCTCCTCCCAACAACACCCACTTGTCCTCAGGGAGGAGCTTCCTTATCCCAAGTGTATTTCCTCTAATTCTTTTTCACTGCACTCTGCACTTTTGCTGCTCGGTACCCAACATAATTTTTAATTACGAGCCCACTTGTGTTTATCTGCCCTTCTATACTGTGTACTTCAAGGGCAAGAAATCAGCTCTCCCTGTTTCACCACTAACCTAACACCTAGTGCCCAGTGGACATTCAATAAATAATTGAATGAAGGAATGAAGGAAAGGCAGGGCCGGGGAGTCTCATTTCTGGGGCCCTGAAGGTGATGTGTGCCGAGATCAGCCCTGGCTTCAGGCATCCATTGCTACAAACACCAGATTCCAATGACACCGATGTTTTCTTGTTTAAAGAAATGGCTATCATGGCCTCTGAAAGACATGACACCCACCTGACGTGCAGAAAGTAGAACACGGGTTGGGCCAGAATTTCTTCATCTGGAGGGGCAGGACGCCAGGTGCACTCCACATGTGCAGGTAGGTTGAGATTCGGCTGGTCTGAATGGCCACCAGATTGCCACCAACACCTACGAGGAGAAAAGGAATCTGTTTTCCCTTTCTTTACGCCAGTCTCTAAGTTGTATCCCTTATTTTAAGTTCCCTTCCTCCAGGAAGTCTTCTTTGGTTAATTCAGTATTTCATTATCTTTTCCTTTCCTCCCACTTGACCACAGATCTTGTTTGGCAGCAAGTCAGGGTGGCCCAGAGCTTGTGAGTGAGGTATCCAGGGAGTAACTGCATCACCTTGACTGCTGGCATCTCTTAAGGTGAGGGGAGTGCGGCTGTAAAGTAGGTTCTCAATAAGTATTTGTTGGCTGGAGCGAGGATGGGAGGGAGGGGATCCAGGGACAAAGTAAGGATGAGGGGAGAGTGGATAGAAAGGTCTGAGAATAGTGTGATAAGGCAGTCTGGATAAGTCAGACCTCAAGGCCACAGGCATTGACAGGAAACAGACTACAGCCTGGAATATCTGAGAAAATGAAAGTGATTTTTTTTTTTTCACTCAAGGTGGGAAGGAGAGAGGAGGAATGAAGACAGTGGATAAGAATGAGAGGGGGCCAGGCATGGTGGCTCATGCCTGTAATCCTAGCACTTTTGGAGGCTGAGGTGGGTGGATCATTTGAGGTCTGGAGTTCGAGACCAGCCTGACCAACATGGTGAAACTCTGTCTCTACTAAAAATACAAAAAAAATTAGCTGGGCATGGTGGTGCACACCTGTAATCCCAGCTACTCAGGAGGCTGAGGCAGGAGAATCACTTGAACCCAGGAGTCAGAGATTGCACTGAACCAAGATCACGCCACTGCACTCCAGCCTGGGTGACAGAGTAAGACTCTGTCTCAAAAAAAAAAAAAGAATGAGAGGGAAGGTGAGGGGAGGACAGAGATGATCACAGGCAGGTGGCAAAGCAAGCATGCGGCAGGAGACATGCCTGGGACACCTCTCATGGCTGTGTGGTCTGAGAGCGTTGAAGAAAAGACGTTGTCTGCTGCATGATTTCAATTTGTGGTGCTAGGTGAGCCCCTCTCTCGGAGCTCAGTTGTCAGTGCAAACTCCCACATTCATAGATGCTTTGGGTGTGTGCCCAGAGCAAGTGGCTTTAGGGGAAACAGGACGAGCGGGGTCATGTGTAGACTGACAGGGCATAGAACACAGAACCCTAGAGGCAGAGTCATGAGGCCCAGAAAACCATGAGCACATGCGGTCTCTGGGAACACCAGGGCTTCCTGCTGAGACTCCGGGATCCCACAGGGTATGAAAAAGGTTTCAAGCTCTGCCCGGGCCAGATGGTCCAGCTGACAAAGGCCATGCTGAGCATTCCTTCTGTGGGGGCAGATGCGGGGGCGGGCTGATGGAAGGTGGGGATTCCCCTATCCTACTTGCTCAGTGCCATGGAGAACTCTCCCTAGCTGGGCCAGGTGTGCACCAGTGACCTCTCAGGCAGAGGCCAACCACACAGGCTGTTCTAGAGGATGCAAACAATTGTCTTCAGGCAGAGGACTGCTGCGATCTATTCGGCTTGGCCCATACATAATTTTAAAAAGAAAAAGGAAAAAAAAACCTCAAATTAATTGGTACTGTTTACAAATTAGGCCCTTAATACAGATTCCCAGCTTCTCTTCCCAAGTCAGCACTGGCAAGTCTGGACCTACACTCTCCCGAGGCAACTACTGGCTGGAGCTGGACAGGCACCACACTGTTCATATGAGAAATGCATTCTGCAGCTTACCCCTGCCATTTCTCACTGTCTAGCTGCATAATTCATGCAGATTGTTTGGCCACTGAAGGCATCCGAGTTGGTGACTCATCCCAAAAAATCACTCCAACGTAATAAGCCCTCTGTTGCTGTTCTCATGCACAATGTGAAGGCACTTTGGCACTGTTGGGGTGAGGACACGCTGGGTGGCCCACTGACATGCAAGGAATAAAGACATGGTCCCCTAAGGGAGCAAGGGAGGAGGGACACTGTGGACACGCAGGGGCTGCCTAGGAGCCTCTGAAGGCTGTTTCTTCAGTCCCTGCAGGCCAGGGCCTGGGGGCTAAACTGGACAAAACATGTTTTGTTCTTCTCCTAACTGATCACTTCCATTTACAGAAACTTATCAGACACCAGACACCAAGCTAAGCTTTGGTTAAAAGAGGGGTCATCCACACAAACCCCACAGGGTGTAGGCCTAGGAGGTAAGTATGTGCAGAGAGCCAGGTGTCAGACAACAGGGAAGGGGGAGATCAAGGCAGCTGGGAAGCACAGTCCTGGATCTGTCTCAGGCACTGCTGCAGTGCCCAGGGTAGAGACCCGGTATTTGTTACAGTCTTAATTTTTAAGAAGAAGAAATCCAGATTTTTAAGTGTAAATATCTGAGTTCTGATGTCAGCAATGAATCCAAAAAAGGAAAAAGAAAAGCCACAAGAGCCAGCGCCCCGGTTCTGAAGGCCATGCTCAATTGGCAGGTGCCATCGAGGCCGGAGTTTGACTCAGTGCCTGCAAAGCCTGGAATTCGGTCCTGTCAGGAGAGCTTATGTCCCAGGGCTGCCTGTGAGGAGCCGGGTCTGAGCTGCTGCGAACAGTGTGTGGGGCTTCCTCCCCAGGCTTCTTCCATCTGAGAAGACCTGCTCCAGCATCCCTGTAAGGCAGCAGTCTGTCCACGGCTCAGCTGCCCAACTGCCTGTGCGGGGCTGGTGCTGCCCCTCTGAGGTCTGCTGTTCCGGTCCAACCCAATCCTGTGGGCCTACCCAACCCAGGGACCACATGGGAACCCTTCAAATACGTACCACATATGACGGGGGTAAATATCGCCATGCCTTTGTACTGCTGTTTAGAAACGGTTTTGCTCAAGATGAGTCCTCCGAAACTGGGGAAATAGCAGACAGCAGTCAAGTTATCAGAGTTTACACTTACAGTGGCCCTGCAACTCTCCACACAAATCACCCTTTCAGCCCAGCTTCCCATCCTTGGCTGTCACTCTCCTCTCCCCTACACAAAATATCTGCTGCGGCCAAACTGGTCTCCCCAGCATCCTTTGCACCCTGCTCATGCTTTTCCATCTCCACTTTGAGCCTCAACCATTGCAGAAGGCCATCCGAGAACACCCACTTATTGCAAAACTAACAAATGCCTTTTCAAAAGCACACAGCTGGCTGGGCTGTCCCAAGACTCCGGCACCACGACTGAGATGCTCTTTAGCAGAAAACAGAACCTGCAGGAGGATCACCTCATGCCCACCCCATGTTCTCAGAAAATGCTGCAGCCAGACCTTGCTCCCACTGGCCACTGTAGTTTAGCAAAAGCTTTCCCACCCCTTGGGACTTCTTAGAGCCCTGGAGAAGCTAGGTCAATCTGTATAAGGAGCCCAGGAGCCTCCTGGAAGCAAGGATACCTACTCTATCGCCTCTTCTCCCCAAGACTCAAAGTTAGAAAAACTCATCAGAATGGACAGGGGTGGCCCCCATCAAGGTCAACTCTCAGGAAATGAGCCTTGAGAGGGAGCTGGAGGGTGGTGGACCTGGGCTCAGCTGAAGGTTCTAAGGCTCTGGAAGGGCGCTAACCCCACAGCTGTCTAGGTCCCACCAGTAGCCATGTGTGGCCAGTGACCAGGAGGACGAGTGAGTCAGCAGATGTGGCCTTGAGGCCAAGGTGGGGGACCTGCCACCTAAGCAGGGATCTGGGCCAGCAAAGCTCTAGTGGCAATGGCCTGAAAGCCGCTGTCTCCCTTGGGGCTCCAGTGCACTCCAGTGCCGGCCCCAGCTTTGGCTCTTCCTGGGTCCCTGGTGCTCTGGCAAATGTAAACAGGGCAGCCTCTCTTAGAACCAACAAGGCCCAGGGTTCTCAGTGAAAGGGAGAGAAGAAAGGAAAAAAGGTATGATTCAATCAGCAATGGGAGTTACTGAAAGAGCCCACAGCTACATTTCACTCCATTCCTGTCCCCCAAGGCAGTGAGTGTCACCCTGGTTCTAGGGGCCTTCATGGCTGAGAGGAGGAAGAGGGGCCGTGGCCCTGGCTCCTGCTCACCTGCTGATGACCATGGCCAGGATGATTGGGAACCAGCCAAACTTCAGGATCTTCACGATGGGTGGGCTCTGCTTGGCAATGAGGACCCACACTGGGGTCAGAGCCGCAAAGCTGAGGCAGACCAGCGGCGTCAGATACCGACTATCTGAAAGGAGAACAGGGACACACGCAGCTCATGTGGCCAAGGCCAGCACACACAGGCTGGGCCTGGGTTTCACAAATGAGAGGTGGGTGAGGACGCTCCTGTCCTCATCAGTTGAGGGGGAACTGCCTTGCCATACTTTTCACAGAACTTTCACCATCCCAAGAAGTAACTGGAAAAGCTCCTCTCTGTCCTCCATTCCTGCCACATTCAACTCCACTTCTCTGGCAAACTTGCTATTTTCCCCATATAAAGTACCCTGTTCTGCCTCCTCCCACCCTGATGCTACTGTCATAAATAAATAGAAGTACAATGTATGGAATGCACCATGAGCCAGCACTATGCTCAGTACTTCGGGTGCACAATCTCATCTCACCTTCTCGACAGCCCCTGCTTAGACAGGCAGCAGGAGGAAGCAGACGTGCAAAAAAGGGTGGCTGCCTAGACAGCAAGCAGCCCCGTCAGGGCTATGGCCTGGGTCCATGGAACGCCAGGGCCGGCTATGGGATGCCACCCATGGTCCTGGCTGAGGCCAGTCCCAGGCAACCAAGGGTCACCAGCCGGGTAGCTACTCGTGTCCCCATCTCATCTTCTCCACTGGCGAGAGGCCAGTGAAGACTGGGCAGGTGCTGGATCAGTCACTGCTGCGGGGGCCCAGGACAAGCCTGACACACTCGGGCATCTCGTGCATTCATTCCTCCCTTTCTGTGTTGTGCTCCGTGTGAGGGTCCCCCACAAGTGACAGAACAAGACACTGGCTTTCTCTAGAGTGGTCGTCTCACCCTCAGCCCCACCCTCTGGAGGGCAGGCTCACCTGCCAAGGGGGCCCAACACTCAGGGGTACCCAGGCATGGGTCTGTGTCCCATGTACTCCCTCTCTGGGGGTGTTATCAGGAACATCCGCTCCTTCCTTCTCTGCACTAAAGGGTTATGGCCCATTCCTCTGCCTCAGGTGCCCCAGACTGGCTACAGACAAGGTACTTTATGGTAGGAGGGCGTGGCCTCTGCAGGAGATATAAGCCAGGCCCAGCCACCTCTAACCAGGTCTCCCACCCTCTGGGAAACAGCGGCCTGCAGAAGCATCACCTTATACGATGCTTTTGAATCCAGTCTGAGTTTTCAGTTAGCTACTCACAAGCACCCCCAGGGCCTGCCTCATGCTTTCCCCAGCACACCTCCCCAATATGCAATGCCAATTCCCAACTACACCCAGCAGGTATTACAGTCAGCTGCTCACACCTCAGCGGGTCAAGATTTATCTAATACAGGCCAGTCCCAGTGACTCCTGAGTGCAACAGAGAGAAGGTCACAGTCTCACTGGAGAGACAGATGCCCCAACAGTGATTTTGTGTCTAAATCATAAGTCATGTGGAAATGAGCACACGGTACAGCCTGGGGCAGAGGCAAAGGTTCATGTGATGCCTGAACTCTCACTTATTTTGCAAATCCAACTCAAATAACCCATATACAAATCTTCTTGTTTTAAGTTTAGTTTAGCTTAAAAGTAAAGTTAGGTCATCTTATTCTTTCTTACAGATCTCCCTTGCCACTTAAGTAAACTTGGCGAATCTCCCTGGTGATTAAACATCACTGCTGGCAGGCAACACCAGGATGGCAAGAAGACAGTCCCAAAGCTGGGACAGAAAGGGTCCCAGTGCCCATACCCTCTAAATCACAGCTGTTTATTTGTCTGCTTCAGTTGCCAACAGGTAAAGATGGGATGCTTTCTCAAATCCCTAGGCCTACATTCCCATGGGGAGTGATAAACTGCAGCTTTGCTGAGGCTCTTCCCTTTGTCTGGGCACTTCTTCAACAACTGTCACTGCATGCCCACTGCCCTCCAATCCTGTGAGGACACATCAGTGTGGCCGACCAGCCTCAGGCCCCACTCAACCTCCTAGTACACCTCTGCCCTAAAGGTAGAAGTTAACAACCCATATAAATGCAGGCTTCAGTTGCTTATTCTTCCTAACATGGTTTGGAGAGCTTGAGGCACTTTCCTGAGCACTCCTTGAACTTGTGGAATAACCTCAGGCTTTCCCTCTGTAAAAGGATTTTTGACTGTAATACAGCAGGGTCCTTCCTGTGGGAATAATGGCTGATTTGAAGGTCACAGTGTCTTAGTCAGTTTTGTTGCTTATAACAGAACACTCGAAACTGGGTAATTCCTAAAGAAAACGAATTTGTTCTTACGGTTATAATGGCTGAGAAGTCCAAGGTTGAGAGGCTGCCTCTGGTGAGGGCCTTCTTTGCTGGTGGGGACTCTGCAGAGTCCGGAGGTGGCGCAAGGCACCACATGGCGAGGGAACCGAGCATGTAGCTCAGGTCTCTCTTCCTCTTTTTTAAAGCCACCAGTCCCACTCCCATGGTAACTCATTAATCCAATTAAGCCATTAATCTATTAATCCATGAATGGATTAATCTGTTCATGAGGGCAGAGCCCTTATGACCCAATCACCTCTTAAAGGCCCCACTTTTCAATACTGCCACATTGGGGATCAACACATGAAATTTAGGGAACTCATTCGAACCACAGCATTCCACCCATGGTACCCCAAATTCATGTCTTTCTCACATGCAAAATACATTCATTCCATCCCCATAGCCCAGAGTCTTAACTTATGCCAGCATCAACTCAAAAGCCCGAAGTCCAGAGTCTCACATGTGAGCCTATGAAATCAAAACAAGCTACCTGCTTCTAAGATACAATGGTGGTACAGGCATAAGGCAGACATTCCCATCCAAAAAGAAGAAATGGACAAAAAGAAAAGACCAATAGGCCAAAACCTGAGAGAGCAGACACTGGGGCTTATGACTCCAGAGCTTTCTCCTCTGACTCCATGCCAGGCATCCTCTACACGCTGGTGTGGGGGTTGAGGTTCCCAGGCCTCTGAGATCCCCCTACCTCCAACCATGGCTGTGCAGTGCTCAGTCCACCCAGCTCTCCCAGGCTGAAATCGCACACTAACAGCTCTGCAGTCCTGGGGTCTTGGCGGGAGTCCTGCTTCCATGGCTCCACTAGGCATTGTCCTGGTGGAACTCTGGAGCAGCTCGAATCCCACATTTCTGCTTGGCACTGCTCTAGTAGGGGAACTCTGCAGTGGCTTCAGCCCTGAAACAAGTCTTCGTCTGGGCCCCCAGGCTTTGGACAAAATACTTCCAAAACTTGGTAGTGGCTACTAAGCTTCCAAGGCCCTTGCTCTCTGCAAGTCTGGACAATTAGCACCACATGGACCTAGGTTTATGACTTGTACCTTCTGGAGCGGCAGCATGAGCTGCACCCGAGCCGTGTGAGCCATGACTGGGATGGCCAAGGAGCGCTGCACTGGGATACAGGGAACAGAGTCCCTAGGTGGCCCTGGGCAGCAAGCTCATGCCCTGGGCCTGTCCCCTGAAACGATTCCGTCTTTCTAGGCTTCTGGGCCTGTGATGGGAGGGGGGGCCTCAAAAAATCTCTGAAATGCTTTTGGGCCTTTTCCCCCTTGTCTTGACTATTAGCTCCCAGCTCCCTTTCAGCCATGCTAATCTCCTTAGAAACTGGTGGCTCAGTCACACCCTTGGATTCCTCTCCTGGAAACTCTTTCATTCTCTACCATATGGCCAGGCTAAAAATTTTCCCAATTTTCCCGCCGTTTCCATTTTCTCTAAGAGTTCACCAGGTAAACCAAAAACAAAATTCGAAGCTCCATCCCAACCACCTGAATGGACTTCCTCCTCAGCCAGGGCACTCTTAAAATGTAACCTGAAAGACTGGTTCAGGCCATGACGGGTAGTGGGGGTCAGACATGCCTCATTATCCCTCTCCAGCATTAATATCAATGCAGACTTTAAGTCCGGTAAGAAGCATTTTATAATCTCTTCTCTCTGAAGCCTGCTACCTGAAGGCTTCCTCTCTGCAAATAACAACTGTCTCCACAATCCTTTTTCTTAACACAGACATTCCTTTCTATTGATCCCAGGTCTTTAGATAAACTCAACCGATTGTCAAAATCAGGTGTGTTGTTTGCTTCTTTGTTTAGAGTTTTTTTTTTTCTTTTTTTTTGAGACAGTCTCTCTCTGTTGCCCAGGCTGGAGTACAGTGGCGCTATCCCGGCTCACTGCAAGCTTCGCCTCCCAGGTTCACGCCATTCTCCTGCCTCAGCCTGCCGAGTAGCTGGGACTACAGGCGCCCGCCACCATGCCTTGCTAATTTTTTGTATTTTTAGTAGAGACAGGATTTCACCGTGTTAGCCAGGATGGTCTTGATCTCCTGACCTCGTGATCCGCCCGCCTTGGCCTCCCAAAGTGCTGGGATTACAGGCGTGAGCCACCGCGCCTGGCCTGTTTAGAGTTTTTATACCCCCTATCTTTTCCTGGGCTTTCTGTGTCCTCCTTTTGTTCTTCCCCTGGGCGGGCCTTTATCTATCACATGTGCAGTGGCCCTGCCAGCACTTGGGAGAGCTGCATGTGCAGTGTGTTTATTGAAGTGGTGCACATGCTCAGTAGGGGCAGTTCTCACTGGTCCAGCGCTCCAGAGGAAGGTCATATACCAGTTAAATTTCACCATCTTGCCCTTTCACTGCACATGCTTAAAACCCTATCGGGGATTATGGCTTGCTAATTCCAGGTGTCTTCTGTCTGTTCTAAGACTCCTGTCATTCCAGGCACCAGTCATGGCCACTTATTATCTTAGAGGGACGGTTTTATGCCTGCCTGTCCGTTACTTAATGAGAACCAGACAGCTCTGGGGTTCCTCCCTTCTCCTGCTCATTATTTCAGGGGGACAGATTTATAATTGCCTGACCATGGCTTGACAACTGCCCAACATTCTTGGGGGCCCTCTCTCCTGCCCTGCTCATGTCTAACACCCTATTCTATGACTAAGTTTAGAGTTCACCTGAGCCCAAAACTTAAGAACAGCTCAGTGGGAGCATAGATTCAAGTGCCCTGAATATACACTTCAATTAGTAGCAGTTACAAGTGGGATTTTAAAGATAAAGGAAGAGGCTGTTCCTAAGTTGTTTACAAAGAATTTACATTAAAATAACATAAGCTATGGATTGGCTATATTATTGTTCATTGTATCACAAATTCCAGGTACATGAAGATAATGGGGGAGGCAGTTAGGAACAAAATACCTTTAAACAACTGCCCAGGCATGGATGTGGGGGGCGTGACTGAAGCAAACAACACACTTGATTTTTCAAGTCACCCACATGGCTCTCCTTCAAGTGTACTCTCTAATAAATTCTCGCTTTGCTTAAAATAAATTCTCCCTCCTGCTTTAAACCTTGCCTGTGTCTCTCATTTGAAATCTTTCCTTCCAGAAGACAAAGAACTGAAATTGCCACAAAGTTGCCATTCTGGAGTTTCTCCAGATAGCTGGACTCACCGCTGGTAACAATATTATCTGGATATTGTTATTTAAGGTTGACATCAGTAACACCCTACTTCTCAGTATCAATTTTTTGCTTTAGTGTATTTGCTTATAATGGAATACCAGAAATTGGATAATTCATAAGGAAATTTCTTATGGTTGTGGAGGCTGAAGAACCCAAGGTCGAGGGGCAGCATTTGGTGAGGGCCTTCTTGCTGGCGGGGACTCTGTGGTCTGGAGGTGGTGCAGGGCACCACATGGTGACAGAACCCAGCGTGCAGCTCAGGTCTCACCTCCTCTTCTTATAAAGCCACCAGTCCCACTCCCATGATAACTCATTAATCCATCAATCCATTAATTCAATCACCTTTTAAAGGCCCCACCTTTCATTACTGCCAAGTTAGGGGTTAAGTTTCCAACACATGAAATGTGGGGGACACATTCAAACAACAGCACATGGGCTGGGTGCAAAAGTACCCACTCAGCCTCAGTGGTGACCTGCTCCAGGGCCCCCCCTCCACGGAGCCTTTGTGTCTATAGAAGAAGACACTCTTTACCTTTGTGTCTGTAGAAGAAGCTGCTAACCAAAGCCAGAATGGACAGTGTGATGAGGTCTCCCAGGCTGGCTGCAATGGGCGTGGCAATGTTGTCTGGGTTGACCCCGAGCTTTCGAGCACCAATCACTATACAGACCATCAGCACCCCTGCAGAGAGAGAGAGGAGAAACAGCAGACTCAAATCCCAGGGAGCCAGATGGCTCTGAGCAGGCACAGCAGCACAGGGATGGGCGGCACTGAGTAGGGACTGGCAGGTGGCAGGGAGGCTGCTCATTAACTTGCCTCCCTCCACAAAGTCCTTGACGTGAAGCCAGGCTGCCCTGACTTTCAGAGCTTCCCACTACACTGGAGGCCTGAGAAGGCTGGGAGAGTTGGACTCCACTTTGTGACCTGTGCACATGATGCTAAGGAGTGACCCGTGGCTCCCGAGCTCCCAAATCACCAGGAACCACAGAGACAGGCAGCCCACAGCCCCATGCTGCATGAGGGCTGCTCCAAAGATGCTCGGAGCAATGGAACCCCTCGGGGTGAGCTCATGGCCTCCTGTGTTTACTGGCATCCTCTGAGAAGCAGACATCCAGATGGAAACAGCTAGGTAAGAGATTGATTAGGGACTAAGCCTGTGAGGGAAGACAGGGAGGGCAGGAGGGAGCTGGGAGCACTGGAGGACATCAACACAGTTAGGGCACAGGGGAGGGGGGCAGCGAAGGTGGGGTACATCTAAGACTGCACTGCATTTCTAGGTGCGCTCAGCCAGGCTGTCAGATGCATACTCGGAGGGCCCCGTGTCTCCCAGGAACAGTCCTGCACTGGGAGCTTAGCGGTGCTGTCCATGGTGCACTGGGAAGCACGTGCAGTGGTGGCGGATTTCTGGGGGCAGCACTGAAGAGGTGAGGCTCACGTTTCCGTGGCTACCATGCCTCCGAAGTCCTCCTTCCTGTTCAGACTGTTCAGACTGTGCTCTGAAGGGGACTATCACATGTGATCTCCTAGTCCCCATCCACAGCCTAGGACTTGACTCAACAGACTCTCACTTGGTTCTCTAAGAAGATACTCTGTGTTGTGGCTATTGGCATTTTAACACTTTACCCAGGATCTTGTAACTCTAAAAATAATTACAATCACCACCTGATGCCATCCTCAAGCTGCCACTACAAGCTGGTTTGTGCCTTGCCTGATCTTGTGAACAAGTCACAGCCCTGTGTCTCCTTTTGAATGCCAGCTGTAAGTGAATCCGAGTTCGCACGCTGATTCAGTGAGCTGGGGACAATCTTGCAAGGACCATTTAAAGGAACACCAGTGGTTTGGGGGCACCTATTGAAAACCACTACCCTGAGGCTTCTGTGATAGCCTCTTCAACACTGCCTGGTGAGGTAACCGCAATGCTTCTGAACAGCCATGGACAATACAGATTTTGCTTGTGTTGCTAAGCTTCATCCGATCTCTGGGCCTCAGTTTTCCCTTCTGTAAAATGGGGAGCTGGGAATGGTGTTCTCTACAAGTCCCTGCAAAGACAGGGCTGGCCTTCAGGACTGTCAGACTGTGTTGTTTTCAGGAGACTTTATGCTGAGGGTCTCCTGGACTGTTCTTCTCTGGAAAGTCTGGCACATTCATCCCGCCCCATCTGTGGACCAGGCTGGGTCATGGCATCCACCATCCGTCCATGCCTGCGCAGGCTGTGACTAGGAGCCAGCCTCAGCCAACACCCTGAGCAGGGACACGTGGTTTGTAAACCTGCAGCCTGCTTTGGCACAGTCCTCTTCTGGCCTACACCCTCCATGCACTGGCACAGGAATGGGCCTGATTAGCTGCCTGGTAGGAATGAGAATAGCCCACATGGGTAACCCACAGAGAGCTGAGCCCAGAGGATACTGACTGAGCAAGTAGGTGGGGGAATGGATGTATAAACACAGGTTCAATTATGAAGTTATCAACTTTTCCTTCTTTCACTGAACCAAAGCAAGGCACGTGGTCTGGAAGATTCACAAAGACACGTGACCCAGGAGAGAGCTGGAGGAGAGTCCATTCATTCAGCGAACATCTGCAAGCTGGTTATAAGCCTGGCCCTGGTTTAAGTGATGACAATAACCAAAAGGCTCTGTTCCCATCAGTGGAAATGCCTGTCGGGTGTGGGGAGAGACAGTACACACATGTGTGAACACACATTTGAGGTGAGGTGAGTAAAACAGGACACTAACGTAAAGCATGGCTGGAATGGTCACTTTAGTGTTGGTCAGAGGAGGCCTCAGGACAAAAGCGACATGTGGCACTCACTCTAGTGTCCTGTATATTCATAAGCTTATTGTCTGCCCCTGAGCTAGAATATAAAATCAAAACACATTTTGTTGACAGTATATCCCCAGCACTACACCGTGCCAGGCACACAGCAGACACCCAGCAACAACTGAATCACCAATGGACAACCATGCAACGTGGCCAACGTGTGGCAACTGCTTTCCCTGCACATGTGCGAGCCCCAAGGAAGGGGTATGTCTGCCCGCATCTGTCTCCCGTGTGTCGCAGATACACGTTAAGCACCAGCTGTGTTTGGCATGAGAAAGGAGCAGCAGACAGCAGGTGGGAACTACTGGGTCCCCACTCTTGAGGAGCTGACATTTTAGCAGGGAGGTGAGGCAGCAAGATGATGCAACAAGACAATCTGAGCTACACAAGCAGAGCCGGGGCCCATGGGAAGGGGAGAGAGGACGTGGGTGCATGTGGGAGTGTGGTGCTGTGCACTCAACACTGCTGTCCCCCTAACCCACATGTTGAAATCCTCACCCACAAGGTGAGGAGGTGGCGCCTTTGGGAGGTGAGGTCATGAGGATGGGGGCCCCACGAATGAGATGAGGGCCCTTATGAAAGAGGCTCCAAAGAGCTCCCACCTCTCTCCACTGTGTGAGGACAGCGAGAAGGGCCGACTGCAGCCTCAAAGGGAGCAGCTGTGAGCCCAGCCCCGCAGACGCCCAACCTCGGGCTCCAGCCTGCAGCCCCACGAGGAGTAAATGTCTGCTGCTGCCAAGCCGCTGACTGGGGGCTCCGTCACAGCAGCCACAGTCTCCTCAGACAGGTTAGAAAGGCCTCTCTGAAGACATGAAAAGGAAGCTCAAATCTGTGCCTTACCCTCAGGACACCTGCAGCCTCCAGAGCCCATCACAGGCCTGTGTGTAAGGTCATGCTCAATAAGTGTTTAAAACCAACAGGCTGACTGCACAGATGAACAAGCCTGCTCTGTGCAGGTGTCAGGCCTCAGCACGGGAGTGTGACCAGCTGAAGAGACCTGCAGAGCAGGGACAGGTCTTTACACAGCAGAGAGCAGAGGCGAGTGGTGGCAGGAGCGGCACACACCCCTGCCTGGGTGAGGGCACAAGGTGGGCCATGAAGACCCAGCTGGCTCGTCCCACCCTGCCAGTGAGAACCCTGAGCCCACCATCAGTCCCATTAGCAGTGGGACTCACACCCCCAGAAACTGAAAACACAATGAGCTCTGAGGTGGGACCTCAGAGGAGCAGGGAGCGGGTGGGGGCTCACAGCTGGGGCATGGCTCACCCAGGGCAAAGGCTGCAAGGAAGGCAGTGAGGACACTGCTGGCACACAGCAACTCCACCTTGGCGACATCCACTTCCTCTCGAGACACCACGCCCAACAGCAGCGCAGCCACAGCAGCCAAGAGCCCCACGACAGTGGCCTGCACCTGTTGGACAGAAATCAGAAGCATGAAGGGGGGCCCCGGGGCCACAGCCACACTCCCTGCCCTTCACACCTCACTCACCGCAAGGGGCCGGGTGCCACATGCTACTGCCTCCTTTCCCTTACCCTAAAATCTCACAGGCCCTCACCCCAGGAAAAACTAATACCACACCCCACACCTGCCTTGAACTCAACTCCTCCGAAACCACGCTGGCCACCTCTGCTCCCTTGCTAGGCACTGCCTTCAAGAGCAGAATCTATTTCTCCATCATCTGCTCAGGCTTTGGTCAGGGGCCACCTGGTATCTTGCTGGCAACTCCACTCTCACTGGTCTGAGCAGAAGTCCTCTGCAACTCCCGGCAGTGCAGACAACACACCTCACTTGCCATGTGGTGTACCCCACGACACAGAGCAGTCACACGGGAGGACTTCACACACTTTTGGTCTCTCCTTTGGCACCCTGCTCACACCCTCCCCTTCCAGGCTCTGTTCCCATCTCTGTCCTGCCAAACACACACCACAGCCTGCGCCAGGAGCTGCCCTGATCTGGACATCGACACTGGCACCTCTAATCCAAAATGCTGACCTGGAAACGTTATTAAAGAAGGACACAGAAACAAAGAGCTCCACCATGTAGGGGGAGAAGAGTGATATGGTTTGGCTCTGTAGCCCCACCAAGTCACATGTTGAATTATAATCCCCGATGTTGGAGATGGGGCCTGGTGGGAGGTGATTGGATCACAGGGGCAGTTTCTCATGGTTTAACATCACCGCCACCCCCACCCCCCACCCTGTCCCTTGGTGAAGTCATCGGTGATCATGAGTTCTCATGAGTTCTGGTTATTTAAAAGTGTGTGGCACCTCGTTCCTCTCTCTTGCTCCTTCTTTGGCTGTGTGAAGTGCTACTCCCCTTTGCATTCCCCCCATGCTTGTAAGTTTCCTGGGGCTTTTCCACAAGCTAAGCAGATGCCAGCATCATGCTTCCATGCTGTACAGCCTGTGGAACCGTAAGCCAATTAAACCTCTTTTGTTTATAAATTACCCAGTCTCAGATATTTCTTTATAGCACTGTGAGAACAGACTAACACAGAAAAGTGGTACTGAAGAGTGGGGCACTGTTATAAAGATACCTGAAAATGTGGAAGCGACCTTGGAGTTAGGTAACGAGCAGAGGGTGGAAGAGTTTGGAGGGCTCAGAAGAAGACAGGAAGATAAGGGAATGTTTGGAACTTCCTCAAGACTTGTTAAATGTTTGTGACCAAAATTCTGGTAATAATTTGGACAGTGAAGGCCAGGCTGATGAGGTCTCAGATGGAGATGAGGATCTTTTCGGAAACTGGAGCAAAGGTTCCTTTTGTTACACTTTAGCAAAGAACTTGGCTGCATTATACCCCTGCCCTAGGGATCTGTGTAACTTTGAACTTGAGAATGATGATTTAGGGTATCTGGTGAAAGAAATTTTTAAGCAGCAAAACATTCAAGATATGAACTGGCTGTTTCTAATAAACTATGCTCATATGCATGAGCAAAGAAATGATGCAAAACTGGAACTTATATTTAAAGGGGAAGCAGAGAGTGAAAGTTTGGAAAATTTGCAGCCTGGCCATGCGGTAGAAAAGGCAAACCCACTTTCAGGGGAGAAATTCAAGCAGGCTGCAGAAATTTACATAAATAAAAAGGAGCCAAGTGCTAACAGCCAAGACAATAGGAAAAGGCCTAGAAGACATCTTAGAGACCTTATTGGCAGCCCCTCCCCTCACAGGCCCAGAGGCCTAGGAGGACAGAATGGTTTCATGGGCCAGGTCCAGGGCCCCTGCTGCCCTGCACAGCCTCAGGACACTCTGTCCCATGTCCCAGTCGCTCAAGCTCCAGTCATGGCTCAAAAGGGCCCAGATATAGGTCAGGCTGCTGTTTCAGAGGATGCAACGCATAAGCCTTGGTTCCATCCACATGTGTTATGCCTGCGGTTGCACAGAGTGCAAAGTTGAGGCTTCAGAGCCTCCGCCTGGATTTCAGAGGATGTATGGAAAAGCCTGGCTATCCAGGCAGAAGCCTGCTGCAGGGGCACAGCCCTCATGGAGACCCTCTACTAGGCAGTGTTGGGGGAAATGTGGGGTTGGAGCCCCCCACACAGTTCCCACTGGGGCACTGCCTAGTGAAGCTGGGAGAAGAGGGTCCCCATCCTCCAGACCCCAGAATGGTAGCTCCACCAGCATCTTGCCACCATCAGCCTGGAAAATCTGCAGGCACTGAATACCAGCCCATGAGAGCAGCAGACAGGGCGGAACCCTGCAAAGCCACAGAGGCAGAGCTGCCCAAGGACTTGGGAGCCCACCCCTTGCACCAATGTGCCCTAGATGTGAGACATGGAGTTAAAGGAGATTATTTGGGAGCTTTAAAATTTAATGACTGCCCCACTAAGTTTCAATTCTGCATGACGCCCATAACCCCTTCCTTTGGCTGATTTCTCCCCTTTGAAATGGGAGTATTTACCCAATACCTGTATCCCCCACTGTATCTTGAAAGTAACTAACTTGTTTTTGATATTATAGGCTCATAGTTAGAAGGCACTTGCCTTGTCTCAGATGAGACTTTGGACTTTTGAGTTAATGCTGGAACGAGTTAAGACTTTGGGTGACTGTTAGGAAGCCATGATTATATTTTGCAATGTGAGAAAGGCATGAGATTTGGGGGGCCAGGGGTGAAATTATATAGTTTGTATTTGTTTCCCCACCAAATCTCATGTCAAATTATAATCCCCAATGTTGGAGGTGGAGCCAGGTGGGAGGTGACTGGATCACAGGGGTGGTTTCTCATGGTGACCCCTTGGTGCTGTCATCTACAATGAGTGAGTTCTGCTGAGATCTGGTCCTTTAGAAGTATGTGGCACTCCCTCCCCCACCACTCTCTTGCTCATTCTCTGGCCACATGAAGTGCTGGCTTCCCTTCTGTCTCCCACCATAATTGGAAGTTTCCTGAGGACTCCTCAGAAGCCAAGCAGATCCCAGTATCATGCTTCCTGTACAGCCTGTGGAACCATAAGCCAATTAAACTTCTTTTCTTTATAAATTACCCAGTCTCAGATATTTCTTTATAGCAATGCAAAATGAACTAATACAAAGAGCTAGTTTTTTAAAGCTAAAAATTGCTCCCCAAGTTAATCCATGTAATTCCAGTCAAAGTCCCAACAAGATCTTTCACGGCACTTGACAACTCATTTTAAATTTCACAAAAATGAGTAACTGTGCAAGAATAGCTAAGACAGCTTTGAGAAAGGTCAAAGAGGGAGTTGTGGCATACTCATGATCAAAGTGTATTTTAAAGCTGAAGGAATGAAAGCAGTGTGGTCCTGACAGAAACAAATAGATCAGCAGGACAGAACACAGCCCCATAAAAGAACCATGAATATATGAAAATTTAATATATAAGAATGTAATCATGAATATATAGCAGGATAAAGGTGGCATTGCAAATCAGGATGGAATGGGTAAATATTAAACAGGGTAAGAAAAACTGGATATCTAGGTTTGGGAAAAATATGGGTCCCTACTTCATACCATTCACACACATACCCCTGAACATAAAAACTATTTCAAAAAATAAAATAAATATAATACATATGTAATATATATTATACAGAATATATAATTATAATATGTATAATATATATTATATATGTTATTATATTTTAGGAAAATTCTAAATAAAATCTCAATATATGTATATTATAAACCTTTTATGTTTAAACAATATATATTAAGTTATATAAAACTTTATAACATATAATATATATGATATATAATATATAATTATATATATATTATACATATATACACAAGTCCATTTATACACTGGACTTCATTATTCTAGATACTAACTAGAAAAATGCACAAGGGTTATGGATAGGCAACTCACAGAAAAGAAAATACAAAGGGATAACAGACGTGCATAAAGATCAACTTCTCTAGTAGTTAGGAAAATTCTAAATAAAATCTCCATTTGAAGGTATCTTATTCATTAACAGCTGATGCTGTTCTTCCTCTTTTAAAAGGTAAGTGTTGTCTTATTTTCTACTGGGGTCTCCTGTTCTGAGCACAGAGCCTGGCACTCTGCAGGTACTTATACAGGCTCAATGGACAGATGGATGAATGACAGATGTGTGGGTGAATAGGTAGGTGGGTGAATGGGTGGGTGGATGGACAAATAAACAGATGGACAAATGGATGAGTAGACAGGTAGGTCGGTGGGTGAGTGGCTGGGTTGATGGATGGATGGATGCACAAGATATACTTTGTTTATTCATCAGATTAGGTAAGATTAAAATTTAAAAAGTTGATAATATAAAATACATATTGACAAGTATGTGAGAAAATGGTTCTCTTATACATTGAAGGGGGTCAATGTTGGTACAGGAATTTAGGGGGAAACTTTGGCTACAATTTATCTATATACCTTCTGATTCAGCATTTTCTCAAAAGAAACATTTGTGTATTTGTACAAAGCATTCACAGCTGATATTTACTGAGTGCTATCTGCCATGCTCGAAGTAATTTTTATTCAATAAGTCGTTATTAAGACAAAAGTACAAGTCACAGAATTATGTGTGTAAAACTTTTTATGTTTAAACAATACAGAAAACCATATATATTATCTATGGGCACACACATTTATATGGTGAATTCAAAAAGTAGTTTAGAAGAACATTTTCAATGCTAATGAGGTTATAGAGAAACTGATTCAAATATTGCTCAAATATTAATGGTAGGGCTAATTATTTAATACTAAGAAATAAAATAATTTTTAGTCATTTTGGAGGGAAATCTAGAGCTTTGAACTGTTCATACCCTTTGAACTTGTGGGAAGTTATCTTAGGAATTTCATGCACAAAGATACTTTCATTGCAGTATAATCTTTCAAGTAAGTCAAAGGCTAGGAAGACCTCAAGGCCCCGCTCAGTGGCAGGGTTCAGGGAAGTGGGCAGGGCTGGTGCTGAGTGGACTCCCAGGGGACCGGCTCTTAGTGGCTGCCCTTTGGTCACTGCTGCCTCCCCACATTTATACGACAGAATATGCTGAAGTTCTTAAAAAGTCCAATGAATAAAACTTATTGCACTGCTGATGATTCAGAGTTAATTAAGCTTTTTTAAAAATGGAGGAGACAAAATTACATTCATGCTAGGATTGGGACTATACACCAAGCCAGTGCCTGTCCCTGAGCAGGGCTTCATAAACATATGTTGAGAATCAATTATGTGGAAATGCACATCCATATGGACAAAGATTTTATGGAAAACAGCAAAGTACAACCAGTGTGACTTGTAGTCGAGGCATTTATTACCTGCCCCTTGCTAGACCTTGTGTTAGAGGCATCCCCAGCATCTCATTCAACTCTGCAGTTCCTCAGCCACAGGACATGGTGCTAGCCCGTAAGACTCAGCTTAGCTGTGGGCAGCAGACATGTAAACACACAACTACAATCAGGGCAGCCGCAGCAGCATGCATAAGGCACCAAAGACGTAAAAGGCAGAAAGAGATACACCTGGTGTTAGGTAGGAACTTACACCTGAGTGGAGCCTTTAACGAACTTCACTGGCAGCTGAACTAGAGGAGAAAGGACCTTCCCAGGAGAGGTGGCTGAAGATGCACGGCAGGGAGGTGTGAAGGGGTGGGGGCTGGGCAGGAAGCTGGTAAGACAGCGCGGCCAGGCCCACAGTTGGACGAGAGGAGCCAGTGAAGGAGAGGAGGCATAACTGACTGGGTTTTAGAAAGGCCACCCAGGTGGCCAGGAGGAGCTGGAGGATTCCTGGCCTGGGAGTGCCTAGAGCAGTGTGGAGGTCTGCCACTATCCAGGCAGGGGAGGAGGAGGAGAAGCGGAATTCATGCACAACTCGGAGGCAGAAGCCTCAAAGCGACTGCATGCTGAGAAGCAGCTGGGGTGACTTGGTTTCTGGTGTGGTTACTGGGAAGGACCATCCACAAGGCACAGCTGACAGGACAGGGTGATGTCCAGGTGCCAGCCAGATGCCACATTCTGACATGGTGACAACTTCACAACAACCCTGCACAGGTAAGGTGAAGTGACTTGCCTGAGGCCCCTCAGTGGGCTGATTCCCAAAGTGAGCTTTCAACCATCACACTAGACTGAGTTGGGGACTTTAGCAGAGGTGAGTATGGGGAGAGAAGACAATGAGGCCAGACTTGGCTGTTTTGGGGGTGCCTCTGGGACAGGCAGATGGAGATGCCCCGTACAGTTAGATGTACTGGTTCTGGAACCCAGGTGCGGGATAAAGTAGGTATCATTCTAATGTGATGGATGGGGGAGTCAGCCCTGTTCAAGGCTATCCAGTGGATAAACAATGGGCTGATCTGATCTCAGGGTCCATATTCTCAGTGCTGTCACAGACCACCCCAACTCAGAGAGGCCCAGAAGGGTCTAGGATAAAGCTACCTCCTGTCTATGTCCAGGCCCAGCCTCTCCTCTTGCCTCTGAGCCAATCTTTTCCTCATCTCCCCCTGCCTTGGGCCTCCTAACTTAGTGACACTCTGTGGCAAGGTCCCAGGATAAGAGCTCAGTGGAACTGGGACCTGGGAGAAGGAGAAGGATGTGTGAGTGAGAGGAGCATGAAGCAGCTAAGGGGTTAAGATGTCTCTTGCAGGCTGAGAAGGAGCAGGCAGAGAGGCAGGAGCAGAGCCAAGGGAGGATTTCCAGGCAGGAAGGATCTACAGATGCCCAGAAAAAGTAAGATCACATGTAAGAGGCAATTACAGGTTGCCTCAGTTAGGGGAACACCTGTGGCCTGAGAAGCACAATTAGAGGCAAGAGAAGCCTGTTAGCACTGTGCAGTCCATGAGACAGAGAAGGAGCAAGTACAGGTGAGTCTTTCAAGAAGTGGGGCTTGGAAAGGAGGGAGTGGGGAAGCTGGAGGGACAACCCTGGGTCTGCTTCAGGTGGGCTGAGCCTCCAGAAGCTGCGTGAATGTGGTCTATTGGATGTGGGAGGGACAGGTAGCTACCTGTTCTCAAAGTTCAGGCCAGAGTGCAGGGACAAGAGCTCGCTTAGCCTTCACCCTTCCCACCTGGGGAAGCCTGGCTGCAGATTCAGAAGGGAGGGTCGGACAAGGTGAAGACTCACCTGGATGAGGGCCAGGTTGCTGCTGATGACTCTGTGCTGCTCCTGGGGGTCATCAATTTGTCCAGTGTTGGCCTAGAATGAAGAGAAAAGGACAAAGGTAGGACTGGCTAGGCCCAAAGCCAGGTCAACCCTTCCTGGGAAAGGCAGTCTCTCAGGGAAGAAATCAACAAATACCATTTCATCAGCGTCAGAAAAAAATTCCTCTGCTCAGCTCTCCAAACAGCGACCTGGCCTTCTTATACGGGGAGTGGGGAGAAACGTTAGGGCACAGACCCCTTTGAGAACTGGATGGGGGTCATGGATCAGTCCTCCATGACCATGCAAGCATATGACTGCACCACCTGCACACACACAGCGGTACACACACAGGCACACACAGCCACACAATGCATAGAGGCACACATGCATGCACACACACAGGCATTCATGTTACCAGCAATTTGAAGGCCATTTCTAGCTCTCAAACTCATGTGCAGACCTCAGTCAAGGCCTCCTACTGTGAAGCCCAGTCTTTGGCCAGGTCCCCCTGCCACCTACAACACCCTCCTCTACCCTGAAGCTAGCCTTATCTCCAATGACCACCAATCCGCTCAATGTCACCTTGGCAAAATCATCCCATTTAAGGAACACATATAAGTCTCTCTTCTCTTAGGATAAAAAACTGAGATCATAAATATGACTTTATCCTTTAAAAATGGTTTTTGGCTCCTAACAGCATAACACTTACCAACAAAATTCAAGACATAAATCAGAAAAGTTTTCAAAGCAAATATATTTTCCTAGATTCCTTAAACTCAGTTCATTAAGTTCCTGAACTCCAAGGAGAAAAATATAAAAATGTGCCTACTGCTAACACACTTGATAATTCATTTTCTTTTCACAGAGAAGGGGAGCCTTTTTGTCTTCAGCACGACTGACATCTGGGATGCGGCACCTGACTGTGGTTAGGCCTCAGTCCACTCTTGAGTAGATATGACACCCACCGCAGGTGTCCCTGTTTGAACAGTAAGGGAAGGAGGCAGGGTAGAGACTCAGTGGAACCCAGGGCGTGCTGAGCACGAGTGGCCAATGACTCACCCCTCTTCTGCTCTGCAGCTGCACTGTGTGTTCACTGAGACCTAAGTGTGCCTGTCTGCTGCTTCAACTCATGTTTTCTATTAATCAACCAGCTCCAACCTGGGTGCTGATCTTATCAGATAAGGGACTTGTGCTGGCCCATATGATTTCTGAGTATGAGTCGGAAAAGACACTCCTTTCTCAAAATATTTTTTATCATCTATAAAACAGTTAAAATAAAAGTACACATCTATAGCCTGTACAGCCCACGTGGCAGCCTGGCCCTTGCTGTGCATGTGAGCCTGAGTCCATCACTGGCATCCAGGAGCACATCACTGAGCGAAGGCTGCACAAAGCAGGAAGTGAGACCAAGAGGTAAAGCGGTGAGGGCAGGAGGCTGAGGAGCTCAGACATCCACAGAGGTGGGAGAGAGAGACATGAGAGGGGAAGAAGTATGGCAAGAGGTAGGGTGTAAAGGGATTAAGATTTCAGAGTGTCCAGAGTATTTCTGGGCCAGGGTGGCTGGAGTGGACTGAAGGTGGCACTCACCAGAGCTGAGCTGTCCAAAAACTCGGAGGCTTGGGTTGTGGATGAGTCATCCCTGTGGATGCTGAAACCTTCCAGGATGGTGGTGGGATTTAGTATAGAGAAGACCACTGAACACTACGTTTCCCAGGGCTGACCAAGCTGGTGATGAGGAGGGAAGGAGGCGAGATGGGACAGACAGGAAGCAGCATGCCAGCCAGGCCAACAGGAGCCACAGGAGCTGCGGGTTTGGGTGGAGGAACACAGACCGCTACCTAAGAGAAACAATCCTGACGCTTGTCAAAAACAGCAGAGGACCTCCTCCAAGACTATTGCCATGAGGGAGAAAGAGCGAAATCAACGCTGAACACTACAGGGATAACTGAGGGTGAAAAGCCAATGCGCAGGGCAAGGGAGCCGATGGAAATTACTAAGTGAATTCAGTTGGGTATCAAGGATGGAGGGAGCACTATGATCAGATACCAAGAGTGGAGAAGAAGAGCCTGGCTGGATATCAGGGTAGGGGATTTCCAGTAAACCGGCTTAGCAGGGCTCTTCTCTAGAACAGAGCCAGAAGGCAAGTGGAGAAGACAGCTCAGAGGAGCCTGACTTGGGTTTGGTCAAGGAAGGAGTGTTTGTCGCCACCCACGAGGGGGCTCTCGGGGGAGCAGGTCTCCATCAGGTAGGGATATTTTTCTGCCCTGGAATGGAGGTCCTAGAGATATCAGGGGAAATAGCTGCAGGCATGGGGCCAGTCTGAATAGGAATGAAGAGTTCAAAGAGAAAACCAGTGGGAGGCAGGAGCATCTACAGAGAGCAACCCAGATTTTCCTCAATAGAAGGGTTTCACAGAGGCCCTTCCTCGATGTGCATTTAAGATTTCATTGAATTTTTTAAAAAACTTCTTTGAATCTGACAATTCCAGGCTTCTACGAAAAATCTCACAGGATCCTGTCTCCGTTCTAGATTTTCTAAGCCTTTCCTTATTGTCTACGTAAAACAGCCTGCTTTCACTGACTCGGGGCGCCAGCGCCAAGTATTCTCCATGCACGCCTCGGGCCTGCTCTCCCTTGCACCAGCTCTGGGCCTGTGAGGCTGCCCTGTAAGGATGGCATCAACAAGCTCAACACACCCCCCTTGCCCTTTCACTTCTGGTTGGTTCTGGCCAATGGGGAGCCATTGGGAGGATACTGGAGGCCCAACAGTGAGTTTGGGGTGTATGACCCCTGCACCCTTCCTATGGGGCAGGGGCTGTAATCTTCCACCCAAACCCACAGCTCTGGTGGGTCAGCCTTCACCTACAGCTACACGCACAGCCCCAACCCCACCCGCCAGGATCTGGAAACTGCCTTTCTTCCCTCTGCCCCTTGAGAACTGGAGTGATACTCACTCCCTGTGGGTGTGAGTCCTGGGGTGCTTCGCTGCCTCTTCTTGGTTTCCTGAATGAACCCTTCCTGAAACTCCGCTCACTGCCCACCTGTATATCACCTCTCTCCTGCCAGGATCCTGACCTATCCAATGACTCATCCCTTCAGAAGGATATTTAGCTCACTCACATAATTTGTCATTACTTTCTGTATTTTTTTCTAATAACAAAATACACTTACTGGATTAAGATGGAAGATGGAACATCTGTTTTGCTATCCTTCTCCTTTCCAGATTGGGGTAAGACAATCCTTTAACATTTTATTTGGGAATAATTTTAGACTTCAGAAAAGTTTCAAAGTCAACAGAGAGAGCTCCTACATACCCTGCACCCAACCTCTCCTGATAATACTTATATAACCTGAGACAGTCACGCATATGGTTTGGATGTGTGTCTCCTCCAAATCTCATGTGGAAATGTGATCCCCAGTATTGGAGGTAGGATCTGATGGAAGGTGTCTGGGTCATGGGGGCAGATCCCTCATGAATGGCTTGGTGCCCTTCTCATAGTAATGAGTGAATTCTCACTCTGAGTTCACATGACAGCTAATTGTTTAAGAGTCTAGCACCTCCTTCCCTTCTCCTGCTCCCTCTCTTGCCATGTGATGCCTGCTCCCCTTCGCCTCCACCATGAATGGAAGCTTCCTGAGGCCTCCCCAGAAGCAGATGCCACCACTATGATTCTTGTACAGCCTGTAGAATTTGGAGGGCTCAGAAGAAGACAGGAAGATAAGGGAAAGTTTGGAACTTCGTACAGACTTGTTAAATGGTTTTGGCCAAAATGCTGATAGAGATATGGACAGAGAAGGCCAGGCTGATGAGGTCTCAGGTGGAAATGACAAAGTTATTGGGAACTAGAGAAAAGGTCACCCTTGTTACACCTTAGCATGGAACTTGGCTGCACTGTGCCCAGGCTCTAGGGATTTGTGGAAGGTTGAACTTAGGAGTGCTGTCTTAGGGTATCAGGCAGGAGAAATTTCTAAGGAGCAAATTTCTCAAGATGTGGTGTGGCTGCTTCTAACAACCTAAAAACAGATGTGGGGGCAAATGAATGACTAAAAGTTGAAACTTATATTTAAAAGAAAAGCAGAGCATACATTTTTGAAAAATTTGCAGCCTGGTCCTGTGGTAGAAAAGGAATCAAAGGGGCCTAAAGAGCAACCACTTTCTAGAGAGAAAAGGGAACCAGTGCTGATAGTCAACACAATGGGAAAAAAGCCTTGAAGGCATTTCAGATTTTTGAGGCAGCCCCTCCCATCACAGGTCCAGTGGCTTAGGAGGAAAGAATGGTTTTGGGGCCAGGGCACTGCTTCCCTACACAGCCCTGGGACACTGCTCCCAACATCCCTGGCTGTTCCAGCTTCAGCCATGGCTCAAAGAACATCAAGTACAGCTTCGGCTGCTGCTTCAGAGGATGCAAGTCTTACACCTTGGTGGCTCCCAGTGGTGTAAAGTCTGTCAGTGCATGGAATGCAAGAGTGAAGGAGGTTTGGCTGCTTCCACCTAGATTTCAAAGGATGTATGTGAAAGCCTGGGTGCCCAGATAGAAGCCTGCCACTGGGGCAGAGCCCCCACGGAGAAACCCTACTAGGGCAGTATCAAGGGGAAATGGGGGTTAGAGGCCACACAAAGCCCCCACTTGGCCAATGCCTAGTGGAGCTTGGGAAGGAGACCACCACCCTCCATACCCTAGAATAGTAGAGCCACCAGCCAGCTTGTACCATGTGCCTGGAAAAGCTGCAGGCACTCAATTCCCACTATGACAGCAGCCACAGAGGCTGCACCCTGGAAAGCCACAGGGGTAGAGAAGTCCAGAGGCCTTGGGAGCCCACCTCTCACACCAGTGTGCCCTGAACGCAGGACATGGAGTCAAGGGAGATTATTACGGAGCTTTAAAATGTAATGCCTGTCTGCTGGGCTTCAGACTTGCATGGGGCCTGTTGTTCCTTTCTTTCAACTGATTTCTGCCTTTTGGAATAAGAATGTTTACCTAATGCCTGTACTACCATTGCATCTTGGGAGTAAATCACTCATAAGTGGAAGAAATGTGCACTCGGTTTCAGATGAGACATTGGACTTTTGATTGAGTTGGTGCTGGAATGAGTTAAGACTTTTGGGGACTACTGGAAAGGGATGATTGTATTTTGTAATGGGAGAAGAATAAGATATTTGGTAGGCCAGGGAAAGAATGATCTGGTTTGGATATTTATCCCTTCCAAATCTCATGTTGAAATGTGATCCCCAGTGTTGGAGGTGGGGCCTGGTGGGAGGTGTTTGGGTCATGGGGGTGGATCCTTCATGATTGGCTGGGTGCCCTCCTCATGGTAATGAGTGAGTTCTTGCTCTGAGTTCACATGGGAGCTGATTAAGAGTTTAGCACCTCCTCCCTCCCTCTCGCTCCGTCTCTCACCATGTGACACACTGGCTCCCCTTCAGCTTCCACAATAATTGGAAGCTTCCTAAAGCCCTCACCAGAAGCAGATGCTGGCACCATGCTTCCTGTTCAGCCTGCAGCACTATATGCCAAATAAACCTCTTTTCTTTATAAATTACCCAGTCTCAAGTATTCCTTTAGAGCAACACAAATGGGCTAACACAGTCACCAAACTAAAAATTGAACACTGGTACAACACTAATAACTAAACTATAGAATGTATTCATATGTCCCCAGTTTTCTCACTAATGTCCTTTTTTATGTTCCAGGAAATAAATCAGGATTGCCCATTGCATTTAGCCACAGCTCCTGAATCTCATTGTAGAAGAATACAAATCAGCTATTTTATGGGATGTCTCTCAATTTGGGTTTCCCTGAGGCTTCCTCATGGTTAAACTGAGATTGTGCATTTTGAGGTAGAAGACCAGTGAGGTGAGGTGCCTCCACTGTGCACCCTGTCATGGGTGATAGCAGCGAGACTTGTCACCAATACTGCTGACCCAGGTCACTGCTGAGGTGGCGTCTGCCAGGTTTCTCCACTGCAAACACTATTTTTTTGCTTCCTATACTCTCAGTTAGAAATGAGTCGTTAGGTCTTGCCCACACTCAAGGGGAAGGAATTAAGCTTTAGCTCCTCTAAGGCAGTATATCCAAGATTTGAGGACATACGTTAAAACAACCAGACAATCCACACATATTTAAAAGAGATACTTTGAGGCTATGCAAAGATCCTACTTCTCTTTAAAGTCCCACACTCTAATAATGTATTAAGGGATCTTATCTGTGGATATGTGTACATACACAGGTTGGCATATATACATACATACGTTTCCTAGTTCAGTGCACTGAGAGGAACTAGAAGTGTGGCATCCCAGGAGCAACAAGTACACCCACTGCCCAGATCTTGTTTGCTAAATTCAGTTCTTCAATAAAAGGAGCCAGCTTCCTTAGGAAAATGGCTCATTAGGGCCAGGGCAAGGAAAATATAAGGTGTGTACCTGGAGTATCTGACAGTGCCAAAAAGTAAGGGAGTGCCCAAGAGCGGGTGGGGCATGTCAGGAAGCAGGAGCCATCTGAGCTAGAACCATTTCAGCAACAGAATAAATATGGGTGCTGGCTTTTAACCTCAAGAATATAGTAACTATCTATGCATCTATACATGTCATAAATATCTATCTACATACATATTACAATGAACTTGAGTTCATGCTTATTTCCAACTCTAATCCAGCATCACAGGATTCATTCTAGCATTGAGGAGATCGTTTTTAAAATGCACAAGAGTGCTGGAAAACAAGAAGAGGTATCTATGCTGTAACAGAAATGAAAAGGAATCCCTGAAGAATGGAAAGTGACAAATTGGGTTGACGAGAGAATTCATAACTGAAAACGACAGAGGAAAGGCCTATTGCAAAAGGCAGAGGTAGTCCTGGGGATAATGCGAGCAGAAGGGAGCCTGGAGCAGCTGAAAGGGCATTTGCTGCAGATACCTCTGCAGGAGCTTCAAGGAGGGTTGACCTTTCCCCTGCCTGCTTGGTTTGTGCCAAGAATGAGATGTGGCCACCTGGCCTGGCTCCAAGCAGATGCAGCGAGAGTGTTGGGGTCAGAGAGGCAGGGCAGTGCCCCAAGTGACCATGACAAGAGGGACACAGAGCCCCCTTACCCATGAAAAGAGTTACTGGCACAGTCTAGTCAACACATTCTGAGTGCCCTCCCTCCAATCTTTAGATTGGAGCCTCCTCTAAGGGCAGTATTCACAGATCTACGAGGTAAGTGTAAATCTAAAATAAAATGATGCACAAGCACCTCTTCACTAAAGGCAAGCCACAAGCCTCTGAGTTTGAAACTCAACAAAGTCAACCAATGGAAGTACAAAATCTAGGGAAACAGAATCAAAGTATGAAACTGAATAAGTATCTAGGATAAGTTAATTAAATGAGATGTCAGAGAATGGTCCTTCATAAATAAAAAGATAATTTTTAAGATTCCAGAAAGTACATACTTAATCTCTAAATTTAAAATAAAAAACAAAAACAAAATCTTTTCATTAGATGACTTCAATAGCACAGTGGTTGAAGAGACAGAGTGATGAAGAGTGAATCAGTGAAAAATTAAATGGAGCAGAAGAATTCTAGCAGAAATGTAGGGAGTATGAAAAGAGAGTTAAGAAACTCAAAAGGTAGACTCAGAAACTACAATATGTACCCAAATAGGAGTTATGGAGGGGGGGTGGGGGAATGAATATAAAAATACAAAAAATAATAAAGTTTTCTATAGAGCTGAAGACAGATGTCTTTAGATTGAAAAACTCCAAGATACATGCAAGATAATGCGAAAAACTCTATGCCAGAGACATCATGGTGAAATTCCATAACACAGATGATAAAAGAAAAAAATCTCCAAAAAGTCCAGATAGAAAGATAAACAAATTACCTAAAAGAAATGAGACTCAAAAGGGCGCAGGCTTCCATCAGCAACACTGGGCACAAGAAGATACTGAAAGTATAACTTCAGTACTGCAGGAACATAACTATGAACATTGCATTCCCTAGCCAGCCAGGCTGGCATTCAATGGTAAGGAAAAAGTAAAGCATTTTCCTACTCCAAATGTCCAAAGTTTACTTCCAACAAATCTTATCTAAAACAATTACTAGAGGATGTACTCAATCAAAACAAAAATAAATTTAAAAGGAAGCTGACAAAGAGTGGCACCAGCAAGATGGTGAATAGGCACCTCCAGGCCCTTGTTTCCGCACAGACACATCAAATAAGCAACACAGAGTGACCAAAATAGCTTTGAGGCAGCTCAGAAACCAGTTAAGATCTGCAGCAACCAAGAGAAAATCCAACCAAGAAAAAGCCACCCTCAAACCAGTAGGGAATTCCATGGTGTTTCTGCTTGCCCTTGCACCACCCCCTCCTCCACACAGCATGGTGCAGTTGGGAGGAACCACCTAATCCTAGAAAGAAAGAAGGAAAGAAAGGAATAGAACCTGCTGGCTATCCTCTGGCTTGCCTGAGGGCTGCCCAAGTAACTGGTTTCTGTCTGTCTCTCAAAAGCAAATGGAAATGGTGACACAGTTTGGACATTAGGATGAAGGCCACAGAGGTGCCCAACATATTAGAGTTCTCATGGAGGAAATGTAGGCCCATGCGTGCCTGGGGGAAAGAGATTATGGACAGAGGAACACAATAGAATGTCAAGGCCCTGAGAAGAAGCAGAGTTGACATTCTGAGGGATATTAAGACATTTAAAAGCAGCCATGTATATGGGGGAATTGGAGAGAAAAAGCACATCCACAGGCCCTGGGAGATGCATGCCAGAAAACCCCCGAAAAGACCTTAAGCCTTCATGCCAGACTAATTGGTGAAGATTTTTCCCTACACAGAGCCAGTCTGCAAAGATTTGGAGAGATGGCTGTTTTGCAAATACCTAATTTTTAATAAAAGATGAAAAAGGATACCAAAAAAAGTGAAACACAGTCTAGTCACAGGAACAAAAAAATTGACAGACACTGACCCTAAAGAAAGTCTTTGAGCTTGCAAAGACTTTAAAGCAACTGTCTTAAATATGTTCAGTGAGCTAAAGGACATATAACTTTAGGAAATTTAAAAAACAGATATGAACAAGATGAAAATATCAACAAAGAAACAGAAATCATAAAAAAAGAACCAAACAGAAATACTGGAACTGAAAAACACAATAATTGAATTGAAAAATTCTTTACAGAGGTTCAACAGCAAACTCTAAAAGTCTGAAGAATGAGCAAATTTGAAAACAGGTCATTTGAATTTATCAAGTCTGAAAGAACAAAAATAAATAAGATTTAAGAAAAGTGAATAAAACTTAATGGAATTACAGAACACTCAATTGTAATACATACAATTTGGAATTCCAGAAAGGAAAGAGATAAGTGGGCAGAGAGCTTATTTGAAGAAATGATGGCCAAAAACTTCCCAAATTTGAAAAAAAAAAAAGATATGAATATAGAAATGTAAGGTATATGAATTCCAAGTAGGATAAACTCAAAAAGATCAATACTGAGACACATTATAAACAAACTATTTGAAAGTCAAAAACAAAAAGAGAATCTTCAAAGCCAACAGAGGAAAGAGACTCATAACATACAAAAGATCCTCAATAAAATCATCAGTGGATTTCTCAGCATAAACTTGCAGTCCAGAGGTAATATTAATATATTTACAGTGCTGGATAAAAACACCTGTCAACTGAGAATTCTGTATCTGGCAAAACTATTTTACACAAATGAGGGAAAAATTAAGAAATTCCTAAATAAAAGCTAAGGGAGTTCATTATTACTAGATCTGCCCTACAAGAAATGGTAAAGAGAGTCATTCAAGTTGAAATGAAAGAATGCCAGACAGGAACTTGAAGCCAAATGAAAATATAATATTCTCCAATAAAGGTAAATGCACAAAAAAGTATTAAAAATTGTATTATTTTAAAATTGGTTTGTAAAAAATTTTATAAGCATTTAAAACACAAAAGCATAAAAATATATATTTAATAGGTACACAATATAAAAAGATATACTTTATGAGATCAATAACCAAGTTCAGAGGCAGAGCTATAAACAGTAGAGTTTTATATGCAATTGAAGTTAAGCTGCTATCAGTTTAAGGTAAATTGTAATAACTTTAGGATGTTGTATGTAATCCTCATGGTAACTACAAAGAAAACATTTATAAAATATAAACAAAAAGGAACTAAGAAGGCAATCAAAACATATCACTGCAAAAAAAAACAAAAAAACAAAAAAACAAAAAAAAAACACCCCAGAGGAAGGCAATAGGGAAGAAATAAGAGACAAAAAAGCTATTAAGACACAGAAAACAAATAAAATTGCAACGGTAAGTCCTTTCCTATCAGTAATTACTTTCAATGTAAATGGGTTAAATCCCTCAATCAAAATACAAAAACTAGCAGAATGGATTAAGAACAAAACAAAACAAAAAACAGGATTCAACTATATGTTGTCTATAAGAAATTCACTTTAGATTTAAGGACACACAAAGGTTTATTGTGAAAAGATGCTATAAGATATTCCATGCGAAGAGTAGCAAAAGAGGGCAGAGGTGGCTATGCTAATATGAGACAAAATGGACTTTAAGTCAAAAACCATTGCAAGATACAAAGAAAGACATTATGCAATGATACAAGGATGAAATCATTCCAAAGATAGAACAATTACAAATAGTGAAACATGTTTTACCAAACATCAAAGTTCCCAAAATACATGATGCAAACACTGACAGAACTGAAGAAAGAAACAGAGAGGTGTTCAATAATAGTTGGAGACTTCAATACCACATCATCAATGATGAATACAACAACCAGACAGAAGATCAGTAAGGAAACAGACGGTTTGAATAACACTAGGAACTGACTGGACCTAAAAGAAAATATACAAAACACTCCACCGAACAATGGAAGAATACACATTTTTCTCAATGAAATGTGAACATGAAACATTCTCCAAGACAGATCGTATATTAGGCCATGAAACCAGTCTTAATATATTTAAGAAGATTAAAATCATACAGAGGGCCGGGCGCAGTGGCTCACGCCTGTAATCCCAGCACTTTGGGAGGCCGAGACGGGTGGATCACGAGGTCAGGAGATCGAGACCATCCTGGATAACACAGTGAAACCCCATCTCTACTAAAAATACAAAAAAATTAGCCGGGCGTAGTGGTGGGCGCCTGTAGTCCCAGCTACTCAGGAGGCTGAGGCAGAAGAATGGCGTGAACCCGGGAGGCGGAGCTTGCAGTGAGCCAAGATGACGCCACTGCACTCCAGCCTGGGCGACAGAGCGAGACTCCATCTCAAAAAAAAAAAAAAAAAAAAAAAAAAAAATCATACAGAGTATATTTTCCAATCACAAGGGAGTAAAACTAGAAATCAATAGAAAGACAACAGAAGTATCTCCAAAAATGTGGAAATCAAGCAACATACACTTGAACAACCAGTGGGTCCAAAAAAAAATTCCAAAGTAAATTAGAAAATATCTCAAGACAAATGAAAATGAAAATACAACACATCATAATTTATAGGATGCAGTGAAAGCAGTTTTAAAGGGAAATTTATAGCTGTAATCAATTCCATTAAAAAAAGAAGACCTCAAATAAACCACCTAAACTTATACCTTAAGAAACTAAGAAAAGAGCAAACTAAACCTAAAGTTCACAGAAAGAAGGAAATAATAAAGATTATAGCAGGGATAAATAAAATAGAGAACAGAAAAATAACAGAGAAAAATCAATGAAACTAAGAATTGATTGGTTCCTCAAAAAAAAAAAAATCAATTCAAAAGCCTTTAGCTAAATTGACTAAGAAAAAAAAGAAGTCTCAAAAAACTATAATTAAAAATGAAAATGGGACAAAACTACTGATTCTACAGAAATAAAAAGGAATACAAGAAAGGAAATTGTATCCAAACACACTAGGCAGCCTAATTAAAATGGATATATTCCTCGAGAAACAATTTACCAGGACTGAATCATGGGAAATACAAAATCTGAATATACTGAAAACTAAGAAAATGAAATCAGTAATTAAAATCTCCCAACAAAGAAAACCCAGGACCAGAAGCCTTCACTAGTGAATTCTACCAAACATTTAAAGAAAAATTAACACCAATCCTCCATAAACTGTCCCAAAGAATTGAAGAGGGAGAAATACTTCCAAATTCATCCTATGAAACAGTGTTACCCTAATACCAAAGCCAGACAAAGACACTAGAAGAAAAACTACAGACCAATATCTGCTGGATATTGATGCAAAAATCTTCAAAAAATACTAATAAACTGAATACAACAGTATATTAAAAGGATTATGCACCATGACCAAGTGGGTTTGTTCCTGGAATACAAGATAGCTCCACATACAAAAATCAATCAATCCATGTTAACAGAATCAATGGGGGGAAAAAAAACCACATGATGAAAAAGCATCTGACAAAATTCAACACCTTTCTGTGATTAAAAAAAAAAAACACCCAACAAACTAGAAATAAAAGGAAACTACCTCAACATAATAAAGGTTATATGTGAAAATCCCACAGTAAACATCACTGTTAATGGTGGCAGACAAACTTTTGCTCTAAGATCAGGAACAGGACAAGGATGCCTGCTTTCACTACTTCTTTTTAACACACTACTAAAAGTTCTGGTCAGAGAAATTAGGCAAGAAATAAAAAAAGTAAAAGGTGTACAAATTAGAAAAGAAGAAGTAAAATTACCTCTGTTTGCAGATAATGTAATCTTATATGCTGAAAACTCTAAAGATTACACACACACACACACACACACACAAATTTTTATAATAAATGAATTCAGCAAAGATGAAGGATACAAAATCAACAAACAAAAATCAGTTGCGTTTCTATACAATAACAATGAATAATTCAAAAAAGAACTAAGAAACAATACCATTTATAATAGCATCAAAAGGAATAAAATACTTATGAATTAACTTAACCAAGAAGGCAAAAGACTAGTACACTAAAAACCACAAAGTGTTTCTGAAGAAATTCAAGAAGACACAAATAAATGAAAAGACATACCATATCCATGGACTGGAAGACTTAATATTGTTAAGATATCAATACTAGGCTGGGCATGGTGGCTCATGCCTGTAATCCCAGCACTTTGGGAGGTCGAGGTAGGTGGATCACTTGAGGTCAGGAGTTCAAGACCAGCCTGGCCAACATGATGAAACCACTTCTCTATTAAAAATACAAAAATTAGCCAGGCATGGTGGCAGGTGCCTGTAATCCCAGCTACTTGGGAGGCTGAGGCAGGAGAATTGTTTGAATCTGGGAGGTGGAGGTTGCAGTGAGTTGAGATGGCACAACTGCACTCCAGCCTGGGCAATGGAGCGAAACTCCATCTCAAAAAAAAAAAAAAAAGAAAAGAAAAGAAAGATGTCAATACTAGCTGAAGAATCTACAAATTTAATACAATCTCATCAAAACCTAAACATTAAAATATTTAAGCAAAAAAACTAAATGCTGGCCAGCACAGTGGCTCACACCTGTAATCCCAGCACTTTGGGAGGCCAAAATGGGCAAATAGCTTGAGCTCAGGAGTTTGAGACCAACCTGGGCAACATGGTGAAACCCTGTCTCTACAAAAAATACAAAAATTAGCTAGGTGCAGTGGTTCATGCCTGTGGTCCCAGCTACTCAGGAGGCTGAGGTGCGAAGATCACTTGAGCCTGGGAGGCAGAGGTTGCAGTAAGCCAGGTTCGTGCCACTGCACTCCAGCCTGGGTGACCCTGTCTCAAAACAAACAAACAAACAAACAAGAACTAAATGCTGTATTTTGATGAAACAGAAAAATACATTTATAGATTCCTATGGAATTTAAGGGACCCTGAATAGCCAAAACAATCTCAAGAAAGAACAAGGTTGGAGGTCTCATACTTCATGACTTCGAAACTTATTATAAAGCTACAGTAATCTAAATGGTGTGGTATAAAGACAGGCATGGAGATCAATGGAATAAAATATCCTGGAAATAAACCCTTAAATATATGGTCAAATGACAAGGGTGCCACGGACATTCAATGGGAAAAGGAGAGTCTTCAAAAAAATGGAGCTGGGAAAACGAAATATCCACATGCAAAAGAATGAAGTTGGATGCTTATGTTACACCATGTACAAAAATAAACTCTAAATGAATCAAAGACCTAAACAAAAATTCAAACTACAAAAGTCTCAAAAGAAAACATAGGCAAAAAGTTTCAAGGCATTAGATTTGGCAATGATTTCTTGGATATGATACCAAAAGCACAGGTGACAAAAGCAAAAATAGATGAACTACATGAAAATTAAAAACTTCTGTGCATTAAAGGACATAAGGCAAAAAGGTATCCTACAGAACTGGAGAAAGTATTTGCAAAGCATATACTGATAAGAGATTAATATTCAGAATATATAAGGAACTACGACTCAACAACAGAACAACCAAAAAAACTAATTAAAAAATGGGCAAAGGACTTGAATAGACAGTTTTCCAAAGAAGACATACAAACGGCCAATAAGCACATGAAAAGATGCTCACCATCACTAGTTATTAGAAAAATTTGTATTAATTTTATAAGCTAAAAGAAAGAGAATTGATAACTTTACAACATTGACTTTTGCCATTCAGGAACTTCTCTCTCCAAATTTTTATTTCTCTTTATAAAGCTTTGTAGTTTATTTGTATAGGTTTTGCCCATTTTGTTTTGAGGATTATTCTGAAACTACTTAAAAACTGGTTAATAGTTTGAAGGGAATCTCTTTTTAAATTATACCTTATAAACGACTATTTCCAGTGTGTACGGGAGTATATAGAGACATGTTTATGTATGTTCATGTATATATTTTATTTCATTTAGATGTTTTGAAACTGGCCTACTTTACCATTTGTTTTACAGTTTTCTAAGTGATTTGCTTAGATTTTCCAAGAAGGCAAGCATATCACTAATAAAATAAGTTTTTCTCTCCCTTTCCAATATTTAAGACTCTTACTTTCTTTTCCTAGTTTATTATACTAGCCAGAATACACAGAACAACATAAATAAAATATTCTTCTGTTTCAAGTTGCACTAAGAGTATCTTTGTAAGTCACATACGGGAGTTGAAGGCAAAACTAACAGATGGAGATTGAAGGTAGATCAAAGGGGGCCGGTATGGAGTAGGGGAGTGGGCTGCAACAGCAACAAGAACTTTCCAGGGAGATGGAGATGTTCTGTGTCTCAACTAGGGTCACAGCTACACAGGTGTATGTATTCGTCAAAAGTCATTGACCTGCACACTTAAACCCTCTGTTTTTATTGTTATCAATTTATACCTTAAGACTGATTTAAAAAAAAAAAACAAAGTAAAACCTTTGAAGGTTCTACTGTTATGATAATGTGTCTGCTCTCCTTTGACAGACTGTTGTAATGAATTACATTAATATGGCCAGGCGCGGTGGCTCACGCCTGTAATCCCAGCACTTTGGGAGGCCAAGGCGGGTGGATCACGAGGTCGGAAGTTCAAGAATTACATTAATAGTTCTTTTCTTCCTCTCATGTTTTACATATTTTAAGAGAATTAAAACACTGAGATACGATCGTTGTAGAGAAGTGTTTAAAATGTAGTTACGGGCTGGGCACGGTGGCTCATGCCTATAATCCCAGCACTTTGGGAGGCTGAGGCGGGCAGATCACTGGAGGTCAGGAGTTCAAGACCAGCCTGACCAACATGGTATAACCCTGCCTCTGCTAAAAATACAAAAATTGGCCGGGTGTGATGGCACACACCTGTAATCCCAGCTACTTGGGAGGCTGAGGCATGAGAATCACTTGAGCCCAGGAGGCAGGGGTTGCAGTGAGCTGAGATCATGCCACTGGACTCTGGCCTGGGTGACACAGCAAAACTGTCTCAAAAAAAAAATGCAGTTAAACACTATGAAACAAACACCTGAAATGCCTCCATGGCAGAGATTACTATCAACATTTTTTTCCCTCCCAAACACTGACCAAAACAATTGTGCACACACGTATGCATGTGTATACATGAGTTGTGTGTGCATGTGTGTAGCTGTATCATGTTACCAGCTGCTCAGACATTTCCACATCCCACAAGGCTCCACATGATCTGGCCCCATGTGTTAGTTTCCTCTCGCTGCTGTAACAAACTTAGTGGCTTAAAACAAAAGAAATCTATCCTCTTATAGTTCTAGAGGACAGGAGTCTGAAATGAGTCTTATGGGGTCAAAATCAAAACCTCACTCCCTCTGGAAGCTCTAGGGGAGAATCTGTTTCCTTCTCTTTCCCAGCACACAGAGCTCCATCTCTTGGCTCATGGCCCTTCCTCTGTCGTCAAAGCCAGGAGCACAGTATCTTTCCTCTCTTATGCTGCTTCCACTACATGGCCTTTTTTCCTGTCTGAAACGTCCCTCTGTTCCTCTCTATAAGGACCCCTGTGGTTACACTGGGTCTATCTGTATAATCCAGGACAATCTCCCATCCCAAGGGGCTTCTCTTAGTCACCTCTGCAAGGGCCTCTTCCCTATAAGTTAACATCCACAGGTTCCAAGACCAGGACCTGGTTATCTCTGGGGCCACTGTTCAGCCACTTGCGCCTCACCTATCTCTTCAGCCTCATGTTCGGCAGCCCCCTGCCCCCACCCCACCTGCCCTCTACTCTATAGCTACGTTGCTGTCCTCTCAGATCCTTGAACACACCACAACCTCCTCTTGCCACAGTCTTTGTCACCTACAGGATATCACATGGGCATCAGAGAAAGGGAGAAACCATTCTGTGTAGTAGAAGGGAAAAAGCTTCAGTCTCCTGGGATAGCTGGGAAGGTGTGAGAAGAGCTGGTAAAGCTAGGAACTGTGTTGGTTCAAGAGCCCAGAGAAGACACCTCCAGTGATCAAGCATTCAGGGAGCCATTCTGGGGAGCAGAAGCCACTGAGAAAGGTTAATCTGGGTGACAAAACCTTCCTGTCTCCTCCATGGAACCCTCCATCAGGTCTGCATTGCTTGTCGTGGCTTCTGTGTGAACGTGTGATGGGGCTGAGCTCAGGGTCCAGGTGGATGCGGGTGGCAGGGCGGTGTGCAGACTCGGGGCACAAGGCACCCACTGACATTTAGGTCAAAGGAGGAACAGGGGCAAACAGGGTTGTGCACATCCCTCAGTCATCCAGTTTGGTAGTGGAAAGCCAAGGCATTGGGCTGGGAGAGGGACAAGGGACAGCATGATGAGGTATCAAAACCCAGAAATATCCATTGTTTTGGAGAATCCAACCCACCGCCCACAAGCCAGGGGAGACCAGGTGGTAGGGACGCGCCTGCCTCACGTTGTGGCCGCCTCGAATGTCCAGGTGTCCACTTACAGCTGTGGAGAGTCTGGATGCCAGTGTCATCTCCAGGTTCCCCTTCAGGCCCACCAGGGGCGGCACCAATGTCAAAAGGTCTTTCACCTCCACAAACACAGGCCAGTGCTGGTAGGGAAACAGTAAGGAGATAAGCCAAACACACACATCAGCAAATCTCTGGAAATTTCTTGAGAGAACCTTCAGCAAGTCACTTTTCACTCCCTATAAAATGAACAAATAGGACTAAGTACTTTCTTAAATGGCTTTAAACTAAACAGAAATAAATGAAGCTGTGAAAACCTTTTAGTGCTGTTAACTGAATCAGTATCAGCGGCCGTAAGCACACTGGGGGCTGGGCCAGGCTGGAGGCCAGCGGGTGGCAGCCATGCTGCATGTGCTCTGCACCATGGGTTCTCTAGAGGCATGCACAGGTCCCGGATGAGAAAGATGGGAATTTCTCATGAATGGGGAGGCCTAGAAACACCCACAAGACGGCCAGGCTGAGGAAGGGCCCTGACTCTACCGGGGATCAACGATCTTCACACAGGCCATGCAGGCCCTGCCTCCCTCTGCCCCCAGGTCCAGGGACTGCGTGCCTGCTGCCACTGAGCACCCTGTGGGGCTCAGGGTTTTTAAAAACAGATAGAATATGCCTCTATCCCATTAAAAGTAGAAAAATCAATAACTTCAAAGACAGATGAAAGGGATTCATGCTTCAAGGAAAATGGAAGAGAAAACACTTATTGGCAGAGGTGAAAACAATTCTTAACTGTTTAATGTGCAATTAGATGTTCCCCTAAATCAGTTTTAATGCCCCACCTGATCCTACTGATTTATTTTGCCTGTCTGGCTGCTGCTGAGATCTTTGACGCCTAACACTAGAAGCTTCTCCTGGTTTTGGAATTCTAGACCTGGAAACAAATCCCTGCTTCGTCATCAAGGAGAAAGGCGGCCTGGGATCTAGGCCCTGTCCATCCCCTACAAGGCAAGAGCTGTGTAAAGATGTGCAAATCCACCCAGCCCCTAGGGACTTGGACAGTCATCCATAAGCTGCCCAGCAACAGGCTTGACCAGGCGTGAAGGTGAAGAGATCAGACCAGAGGCCCTTTAAGACTCCTTTCTGCTCTCAGACCAAGGAAGATGAGCACTGTTTAGTTTCTTCCTGTACCTTATCTACCAGGCTGTGGAATTCAGAATCCAGTTCCAGCTCTGATGGAGTTCTGAGTTTGCCCTCTCTTAAAACTTGAGAAGAAAACAATGCCACCAGGCAGGGTGTCCTCCCACACCTCACAGTCTCCTGGTGGCATCTGGCCACAGCTCTGTGCAGCTGTCCTCTCAGCCTGCACACCCTCCACATAGGGTGGGCCTCCGTCCTCAGCAGGGGAACCAAGGCCATCATCAAGTACTCCCCAGCTGGCCTTTGGGCACCACCACCCACACCCTCCCTAACGTCCTGTGGAGCCCAGCGTGCTCATGGGCACTCTCTCTGTCTATACCCAAGACCCGGCACCTACCAACCCCAAAGTCACAGCAAACTCCTCCTTTCAGCCTGCGCCACCCAGCAGCCTTCCTCCTGCTCTCTGAGCACTACTACCTCTGAACAAGTGCCTGTTCTCACCCATCACCCTCAGTGCTGCAACTCTATGGCTCTCACCGTCTCCCTAAAGGAAGTGGTGGCCTCCTGATGGGTAAGCCCCATCTGCTGCTCTCCCTGCAGGGTGGCACTGTCCTCCCCTCCACGGATAAAGCACCTGCTGACAGGCACAGCTCTGTACCCTCTCCCCTGGCCTCTGGGCCTCCACCCCCAGTCCTTTGCCAACCTCACTATCCACCCCATCTCGGCCCCTCTTCTTCCTCCTGACCATGTTAATACCGATCTTCCTTCCTGCTTTCTTTTCAGTTCTCCTTTCTCCTCACACCCTCTCCCTTCCGCAGCTCGAGTACCCTTCCACTGTGCACACAGCACTATCTTCCAGCAGACACCCCACCTGCTCCATGCTCCCGGGGCTTTCAGCAGGAAGCCTGGGCGGAAGACGGCGGGGGAAGCTGAATCCTGATGCATAGTGGTCCCATCCTCCTTGCCAGACGTTGCTATGACTGGTCAGTGAGACCTGAGAAGTCCTGTCTGGTCACATCGGGTATCACACAACCGTGACGGGACTAAAGTCTATGGACACTGGCTGAACTGTGTCCCCCAAAACTCGTATGGTGAAGTCCTCATGCCTAGTACCAAAACATGACTGTATTTGGAGAGACTGTCTTTAATGAGATAATTAAGTTGAAATGCAGTCATGAGGGTGGGTCCTAGCCCAGTATGCGTGGCATCCTCATTAGAGGAGGAAATTAGGACCTAGACATGCACAGAGGGGAGACCATGTGAAGACACAGGGCCATCTGCAAAGCTCAAAAACCAACCCTGCCAACACTTTCATCTCAGACTTCCAGCCTCTGGAACTGCGGAAAAAAATCAGTTTCTATTGTTTAAGCTACCTCCTCTGTGGTATTTTGTGATGGCAGTCCTAGCAAACTAATACAAATGTAAAGTGAAAAAATACTGGGTGACACTGTTAATCCAGTAACTAACCAATTCTGGCACTGTCCTATCTCTAGACTTCTTTACAGAGATAATCAGTGTCTTTGTTTTTACCTAACCAATTCTGGCACTGTCCTATCTCTAGACTTCTTTACAGAGATAATCAGTGTCTTTGTTTTTAAAGTCCCTTTGAGTTAGGTTTCCTGTTACCTGCAGCCAATAGCAAATACACTGACTGATACCCTGGGCTTGTGTGGGTGCCTCCCAGTGTCTATGACTCAGAAGTCTCTGTGAGCATCAGATCTGCCCATCCAACTCTGGCTGAACTTTGGACACCCCACAAGCACCTCAAACTCCAAATCTCCAAACTTCTCCTTGCCACCCGTGTCCTTCCTGCTCTGCCAGCCAGGACTCAACACCTTCTTTTCCCCAATCTGACATTCAAGTCATCACAACTTTTAAATTCTGCCACCGCCCTCTCCAGCAACACTGTAAAGATGCCTATATCAGTCATTGGGGAGGCTGAAATCATCAGAAATAATGATTCTTGCACTTGAGGGGCTCTGAACTCTGCCCACAGTCCCCCAGCTCTCCCCTGCTCCTCCGGCCTCACCCTCGGGGTCATCTTTGACACCACTGTCTGGGGTGGGTTTTGTGGCACAAATATGACCCCATCACTCAGCCACCTGTAACCCTTCACTGCCAACTCCTCTCCTGAGTATACCTAACACATAAGTCCTATGAACCCCAAAGACACACAGGCATATGTCAAGAACAGTCAACGCAAACCCACAGCACTGGAGTCAGAGGTGGGGCTGAGATGACTAAGCACAGAGGACTCTGCTGGGGCTCTGCTGAGGATGCCCCAGGTGGGGCTGCAAAGGCCCCTGTACCTTGAGGTGGTCCATGGAGCTGCACAGTTGTGTGCTCTCCTACGTGTCTATGCTACCCTTCAATAAAACCAGCAAGACACTCATTTTAACATAAAGCAAACACCTGCTACACTCAGTGCACGGCACACCCTCTGAGCAGAGTAGACAGAGCCCCTCACTCCTGCCCAGTATCACTGTCCCCATGACAGCGGCCACCCCTGTCTCTCACTTTCCACAAATGCACACTATCATTCACCTGTATCTTTGCACACAAATCCCTCTGCTTGGAATGTTCACGTCTTTTCAGGGCATCCTGGAAATTGCTACATTACCTTTAAAGTCCAAATCAAATTGTCCTGCTCCTCTGCAGATCCCCTGGCCCCTAGGAAGAATGACTGCTCCCTCTTCCTTCACAGGCAAACACCTCCTTGTGGCCTCCACTCCCTGCCCAGCCCTCCGGAACGCCTAATAGTCTCTCTCCCCAGCATCAGCAGGGTGGTCTCAGGGAAGGAGCGACAAGCTCTCAGCACAGCTCTAGGATGAGGCTATTGGGGGAACAAGTGGGTATTCAGGTTGCAAGCCCACAGAAGCACAGGCTTTCTAATGGGGGGCTGGCCAGGATGCAAAAGGCCACCCCAGCCCCAAAAGGGGATGAGCGTCCCATCAACTGAGACGAGCAAGCAGAAGCCACCTGGGAGGCATCGTGAGCTCAGATTAGGAGGCTGGGTGGCCTGGTGGGTACAGACTGCCCCTCTCCAACTTGGACCCAGGGGCACAGAAAGACTCTGAGTGGCCATTAGGAAGGAGGTGCTGCATACACTCGGGAACATGAAATGCTACTTGGGGTGTCCTCATGGGTTGAAATTTTAAATTTATATTTACAGATTAAAAAGCAAAACTGCAGGCCAGGCACGGTGGCTCACACCTGTAATCCCAGCACTTTGGGAGGCTGAGGTGGGTGGATCACGAGGTCAGGAGTTCGAGACCAGCCTGGCCAACATGGTGAAACCCCGTCTCTACTAAAAATACAAAAAAATTAGCTGGGCCTGGTGGCGGGCACCTGTAATCCCAGCTACTTGGGAGCTGAGGCAGGAGAATCATTTGAACCCAGGAGGCGGAGGTTGCAGTGAGCCGAGATCACGCCATTGCATTCCAGCCTGGGCGACAGGGCAAGACTCTGTCTCAAAAAAACAAAAAGCAAAACTGCATACTATAAACCATATATGTATATGTTTATATGTACATAGAAAATTGTCTTGAAAGGTCCACAGCAGCGGTGATAGAGATGAAGGGACAGCCTTCCTCCATTGCTTGGGTGTATTTTCCAATTTTTCTAAACTGACTCTACGAAATGTTTCAGTTGACAGATAGCACAAACCTCTCAATGATTCCAATACGCTGCCCAAACCATGCTAGGGGAGAAACAGACTGTGATAAGCAAATCTCCCTCAGCACACGCCTCCACTGCAGGGAGACCGCCATGGCCCTCCCACCTGCACCCCCAGGGCTGCAAACCTTGTCCTTTTTTACCAGGGGCCACGCCAGGATGCTGCGGGCTGGGCACACTGCAGCTCTGCCCACAGGGACCACAGCATACAGACTCAGTCATCTGGTCCTCACAATTCTGTGAGGTGAGGGCTTTCATTATCCCCATTTTACAGATGGGGAAATCAAGGCAGAACAGTGTGACTAAAAATCCCCTCCACTGGTGAGTGGCAGACTCTGCCTCCTGAGCCCACATACACTGGGAGGAAGGCGGTTTGAGCTCCTTGGGCTGAGGAGGCACATGCAGGCTAAGGTTCTGACAAACCTCCATCATTCTGCGAATCTCTAATGCTGAGGTCTCAGCGTTGGAGGTCCCTCCTGCCAGCCTCGCTGACACCCGGGACGCCCAAGCAGCAAGGGCAGGTTGAGGGCTGCCCTCCCACTGTAGAGGCCCCTCATGTCTCCAGCCTGCCCTGTCTGTGGTGCCAGGAGACCCAGTCTGTGTGTCTCCCACCCCTGATCCCCCAAACACCCAGTACGCACTTGAATGGTGTTCATCACCAGGCCGGCTGTCATCATGCACAAGCCGGACAGCAGAATGGGCACCACGACCTGGCACATGATGGTGAAGAAAGATTCAGGCAAGACCCCATGTGGGGACCGGGTAAGCTCACAGCTGAAGCCTCGCAGCTTCTTGCCCTGAAAGCAAAACTCCAGATTCAGCTGGGTGACCACCATGGCCAGGCAATGCACCACGATCCCAGGAGCACGAAGTCAGAGCCTGGGGTGCTCCAGTCCTCTCCTCCTGGCCCACACCAGGACGCTGTTCCCAAGAAGTCCACACAAACAGAAGCTTCCCAGTCACCAGGTGCCCTGTGCCTGCAGAGAGTTCCCCAACAGCCCCTCGGCTGAGGGCCAGCACAGATGAGTGAGGAACAAAGGCCAGTGTGACTCACGGCCTCATTACAGAGACTCTGCCAGGCCCTGCTGTCCCTCCCTGAAGGTCAGGCTCTCCTCAGACAGTGGCTGTGTGTCCGCCGGGACCTCCCTCTGCCAGTCTGCCATGGAGGCTCATGGTCCCTCTGCACCGGCCTTGACAGCAATCAGCAGCCCAGCAGGCTGGTCCATACTGGCTTGGGCTGGACAGAGCTGAAGCCCACGTGGTGCCTGGCCTTGGTGAGTGCCCACACGGAGGTCTGCTGCCACCTCGCCCTGTACAAGTGTGCTGGGCTGTTCCCCTCCTGGCAGAGGAGGGCCTGGGGAGAGATCAGCACAGAGGGACTGCCTCCTCAGGCCAGCTCTACAGACCTCGAGTTTTATTCCTCAAGGTCAAGCAGTCTATGGGTCCCCAAGCAGGAAGCCACGCCCTGGGTCATCTCAAGTTGTGTCCAGCCAGGGGGTTCATGGCCACAGGAAGCTGTGTTCACAGAAAAAAACGCAGGCCTGTTCTCCCTCCATGGCCTGGAAGACTCATAAACATGCTTCCAAAGTGGCCTCGCTTTCTTCAGCTACAAATGTCAGACTGGCCCTGCTGACCCCTCCTCACCCAGAGAAGGAGAAGGGGCTGGGAAGCCACCTCTGACTCCTGGGGTTCTGTTGTTGGGTGTGTCCTCTGCGCATTCCACAGGCACCAGGAACAGAATGTTCAGGCCTGAGGGCAGGCTGGGGCAGGCAGAAGCCCGAAGCTGGGGGTCAGACTCACACCAGCTGAACCCAGCACTGTGGTCGGGTCTAGGCCTCACTTCCACTCCCATCCCTAAACTGTCGCCCTAGTGGGCACGTTACCTGGTTCTCCCGTCGGACTATCCCAGGCTTAAGTGCAGACCCCAGCCTGGAGTCCACTGCCCTCCCCAGTGTGGATCCTACCGGCCTCCCCAAGGCTGTCCCTGCAACCGAACTCCAGACGAATTTCTCCAGCACCTGTTCCCCTCGTGCCCCCAATATTTCTTGCACTGCGTCTTTGTGCACACCCTTCATTTACTCATTCATTCAACAGATATTTTTAAGCCCCTCATAGGAGCAATGCATAACTGGCCCTAAACTCCAGCACAATTCCCACTGAGAGCTAGAGTTTCTGACCCCCTCTTCCCTCTGTCCCCACAGCTTAACCGAGAGAACAAAGTGGAAGAGACGCTGTGGTAGTCAGTTTCTAGGCATGGATCTTAAGAAACTGACAACTTCTATGTCCTATCTCTTGGGCTGCTCATGCTCCCAGCCACTCTGCTGTGAGGAAGACCACGTGGTCACACATAGAGGCCGTATGCCAGGGTCCTGCTCACAGCCCAGCCTTGCACATGAGTGGGCCGTCTTGGGCTGGCCCAACAGCCACCACGCACGCAGAGCAGGCGGTTCTTCTCACCGGGCCCTGCCCAACCTGTAGATTCCGCATCAAACAATAATTGGCTTTAAACAAACTGCTAAGCTTGGGTGTCCTTCGTTACATAGCCGTAGTTAACTGCATTTGGGGAATCTCTTCCTCATCCGTGATCTCGCTATTTCAGATGTAGCAACTCCCAAACCTCTCACAGCCCAGACCTCTCCTCTGAGCTTTCAGATCATATACCCAGGCTCTGGTAGGGATGAGCATGTATCTCACTCCACCAGTCTCTCAGGACTGCCACTTCCAAGCCTGCCTCTCCCAAGTGGCCTGCCTCAAGGAAAGGTGCAGCCAGAAATGCAAGCCTCACTCGGAGCCCCTACCATCTCAGTCCCACATCCACTCTGCCTGTCCCCACACCTCTCCCACAGCTGTCCCCCACTCCTGCCCACAGACGCTGCCTTCACCACGGCCCTTTGTCCCTCTAATCTGTCTCCTCACAAAACCACTGTGTGCTCTTCACAGGCACAACCCACAGGTGCACTGTGAGGATGGCCCTTGCTCACACAGTGTGTGGTCAACACACTGCCTGAGAAAGGAGCATCCGGACCCCTTGCAATCTGGAAAGACACATCCACGTGAGCCTCCTTCTTGCAAGTACATGGTCATATGCTGCAGCTGCAGACAGAACTTCTCATGACCCTCACGGGGGCCATGCCCGTGCTCCTCCCCTCTGCTGCAGGCCAACACATCACCCAGGCCAAACGTCTGCCAGGCCTCATGGCCAGCTGAGGCACCTCCTCTCAGCCAGAGCCTAACAGCTCTTTCCCCAGAATTCCCAACGTACTCTCTGAACCTTCCTGAAGACAGGTCCCACTTTTGCATAACAGAAGCATAAAATGCAGGTGTATCTGCTCTCCCTCCCTGGCACGCACCCCTCCTGAGAACAGAGCCCTTCTCACTGCTGCAATCTTGGGGCTTCTCCATGGCTCCATTCCACAGATCAGTACTTAGGGCCTAGTAATTGCCAGCCTCCGCCCTAAATGCCAGGGTACACTGCGAGCAGAACAAACACAGGTTATCAGTCAAAAAAGAAAGAAAGAGAAAGAAAGAAAGAAAGAAAGAAAGAAAGAAGAAAGAAAGAAAGAAAGAAAGAAAGAAAGAAAGAAAGAAAGAAAGGAAGGATGATCTGTGATAAGTGCTCTGAAGCAAACCCAGGGCATAACAAGGGCACAGAGCAGACTCGGCCACACGCAAACAGTCACTGCAAATGAATGAAGGAATGCCCGTAACACTCAGTCACTGCAATTGGATGAAGGAGTGCCCATTTGTTCCCTTGTGCAGCACTCTGTATTTCTCAGAGCTCTCTCACATTCTATCATTTTCACAACAGCCCTGGGATGTTCACAGGAACTATAGCATTCTGTTTTGCAAATGAAGAAAATGAACAGTTTCCCAAGATCACACAGCAAGTTAGTGTCAAAGGCAGGCCGAGACCCTCAGCTTCTGGGCTGCCTGCCAACCCCATCACTGCCCGTCATCCATGGTTAGGATCAGTTTGTTCAAACAGGAGATTGAACCGGCAGGAGGCAGAGAGAAATGGCCTGATTCTGAGAGAAGTGTTGCAGAAGGTTACTGGTTTAAAGGCATCACCTGGTTAAAGACAGAGTCCTCTGTCTTTAAGGCTGGCCTAGTTTCCCTGGCTGCTCAAGGCCTGTTGTGGGATGCACATTCCCAAGGCATACAGCTGAGCAGCCCCCAAACAGGTGATCACTTCCTTCAGGTGTCACCACCTCTCACAGTGTCATCATAGTTTCGGACGTGGTCAAACATCATCACACAACGTATAATCATACACAGTGAATCCTGGAACCACCCTCATCAGCACAGGAGACGCAGAAATAAACAACCATTTGCAGACTCTCATATAGAAAGAGGTGTCTGACCAAGTAGTTACAAATCATTACAAAAATGTTTCTCAAATCTGTTTAAAAATTGAGTGAGAGACCGGGTGCGGTGGCTAATGCCTGTAATCCCAGCACTTTGGGAGGCTGAGGCGGGCAGATCACCTGAGGTCGGGAGTTCGAGACCAGCCTGACCAGTATGGAGAAACCCCGTCTCTACTAATAATACAAAAATTAGCTGGGCGTGGTGGCGCATGCCTGTAATCCCAGCTACTCGGGAGGCTGAGGCACCAGAATCACTTGAACCTGGGAGGCGGAGGTTGCGGTGAGCTGAGATCATGCCATTGCACTCCAGCCTGGAAAACAAGAGCAAAACTCTGTCTCAAAAAAAAAGTGAGAAGGATACACACACACACACACACACACGTGCATGCACAGTGAAACGTTCAGAAGGATATATACCAAAATGTTAACAGTAGTTGCCTTTGGGTGGTGGGTTCATAAGTAATCTTTATAATTTTTTGTCTATTCTGACAATTGTGACTATTTGCTTTTATAAATAAAAAACTATCAAAAGCAAATAATGTAACTATATAAGAAAAATGACTTTCCTGTGAAAACCTGAGAAGAAAACATGTCAACACAGCTCACTGGGTTATAATCCAGAAAATCAAAAGTGTGGTTTTAAAAATAGCTCAGTAGCACAGCAGAAGAATCTCAAAGAGCTTGAACTAGATTCCAGCTGCACGGAGCAGCAGGTGGAAGCCGGGTCCAGCGGTTTCTGTGTGACCTTCTCTGGGCCTCCAACCCACCCCACAGCCCACAGCATGAGCAAGTGGCACAAGATCAGTGGTGCTCACCCATCAGGGGCACCAGGACCACCTGAGGAGCTTCTGCAACAGGCCGCCCAGGCTCCACAAAGACCACAGGATCAGAACGTTGAGGACCACTGATCTCTGCCCACCACCTCGTTCTTACTGGGGTGTGTTTTTAGGGGAGGGTCCACAGAGTGTGGGCAGGGGCTCTGGAGTACATTTCTGACACTGCAGTGGGAACTGCTTGTTTACCAGGAGCAGTTTCCAACGCAGCATCCAATTCATTTCTCAGGGTCACCTTGACCCTCGGCAGGTTCTGGGCCAGATGGTCATTCTTACAGGCATGAATTCTTCCCCCATCTTGTTCAGGTCTCACAGATCAGGCCAATTAAATTTTAAATAACTGTTAAGGTTCTTCTTTATTTTCTGCTTCTGATCTCGACTGGCAGAACCCACCCACAGGTGAAGATGAAAGACTTGTCCACCCCCTGCCAGGCTGGCCTGCTCCCACACTGTCTCCAAGCAGCCTCTCTTGCCTCCCCTGCAACACCTCCTCCTGGGGAAGGGGGATCTTCTTGGCCTCCCTCCGCAGGGCCGCTCCCACCACTTGCTGGAGCACACAGCCCTCATTGCTATCAACGTTGACCCCAGAACCTGCTGTGTGAGCGGCATGAGGGCAGGGGTGTCTGCCTGGCACAGGTACACAGTATATGCTGCCTGAATGAGTGAATGAATGAATGAATGAACGAACTGCTGTGGCCCTCACCTGTCCAGGGCTGGGTGTCAAGGGTCCACCATACCCTTAACCCAAGGGTGAGACCCCCTCCCTCATTGATGAGGTGAAGAGGAGGTGACCATAACAACAGGCTCACAAACAGATGGGCCCACCGTGACTGAGGACACCTGGCCAGCTCTCCCTGCCTGTTCTTTGCTTGCTAACAAGCCCACACAGCCAGTTGGGATGCAACTGCAAATTGCTGGCTTGAACCTCTGCTGTCTCTCTTGGGCTCTGTCATCTCCTCCCACCCTAAAGGGTTATTTTCGCCCCCATGACGAGAACCACTGTTAACTGACTACAGGCTGGTGTGGGGCTGGTGGGTGCTCCCTGGCACTCCTGCCACCTGGTCTGACTTACAAATTGGCTTGACAAGATGAGACTCCACAGACCCTCCCCTGCTCACCATTAAAACAGTTAATACTACCCAATGCAAATTACAACAGGACCTTCAAGGAGGGAAATTTATTATGTGAGACTTAAACAGGGTATGTCAATCCTCCTGCTTCTCCTTTACACAGGCCAATATGGCTCATTCCTAAACCTGGGGAGAACAAAAGGGTGCCTCCTGGTGGATTACCACCACCTTAATGGCATGACCCTGTCCATTCAGACCCCCACATCCAATACCGAATATTATTGAAATCACTGACTCCATCCAAATCAACTGGTACTTTGCTGCTATAGACTTGGCTAATACATTCTGTTCAGTGCCTATTTCACCAGCCTCTCAGACACAGTTGGCCTTCACCTCTAAAGGGACACTAGATACCTTTTCCAGGCTCCCCACAGGGACCTCCGCAGCTCTGCCATCACACACAGTCATGCGGCCAAGGTCTCCCCTGCATCTGCCTTTCTCAGGAGCACAGTTACATTACACTGATGATGCCCTCCTCCGCAGAGGCTCTTTTGACACACTCATTAAGGGCATACAAGTAACTCACAAAGGCACTCACAATGAGAGAGGGGGCCATCACCCTACATGTGGTGCGAGGCCTGGCACCTTGGTTAAATGCCTGAAAATTACTTGGTAAACTGAGAGCCGTCCCCAACACTGCAACAAAAGAAGTATTAACCTTCTCAGCATCCACAACATTAATACAAGTCTCCAATATCTTTTAGTTCTTTTTGGGTTTTGGAAGCAACATATTTCTCATCTACAAATTTTACTTACGCCCATTTATGCTGTCATCTGCAAAGCAAGCCAACTCAAACAGGCCACTCCAACAAAAGGTTCTAGGATCTGCCCAAGTTAATATCAGCAGTTACTCTTATTAGTGCCCCCAGAAACGCCTTCATGGAAGAGAGGGGCATTAGCAACCTCCCCTCAAGCCCTGGAGTCTACAGGCTGATGGCCGTAAGTTGTCTAGGGGCTGCGGATCCAGGGAAATGCTCTCCTCCACCCTGCACTGTGCACCATCAGAGGAGTAGCTGCTGGACACATGCTGGGCTCTCCTGGAAGCATAGGTTCTCACAGACGTTGTGCCTGTGACCCTCCATTCCCACTGCCCATTATGCCTTCACATGTGGCACCCCCAAGCTCAGTACAGCTACTGAGGTCTCCTTAAAAATAGAATGGAGCCAAACCTGGGCTCTCTGGCATATGCCACCTGCAGGAGGGGTGGTCTCCCCTGTCCTCAGTCCTTTGCCAGACGCCATGGTGCCAGAGGAGTCACCCCTCCCTGGGCCTCTTGGCTACCCAAGGCCCCTTGAGATGGGCTGGCCATTCACGGTGGGAGCTATAGGCTTCACGGTGGGTGCTGCCGTGTAATATGCAAGGGAGCTCAGGGGAAGGCTGCTGCTTCCCATCTTAACCAGGAAGTCCCTGATAAAGAGCAAACCTCTAAGGGTCAGCGCAGTGGCCAAGCATCAGGCAATCAACAGCATAGGCGCCCTGGCCTGCTGGCAGCTCCCTCTGCACCTGGGCACAGGCTCTTGGCCCAGAGCCTCAAAGATGCCCCACTTGGGGGTAGAGAGCTCTGGGAATTTCCTGCCTCACTGACACACAAAACATAAAACAGGGTAACAAATGCCTACACATATACTACAGCCACACACAAGGCCTCAGCCAGTCACTCCTGATCCTCTCTAAAGTTCAGACATGGCCGACGGTGGCCAAGGCCCTCATTTCCTTCTTGAAATATAGAGCACCAGCTCTGCAGGAAGCACCCAGTGGAGCCTCTACTTCCTGGGTGGGCCACAGGCAGCCAGGGTTAGCAGGAGGCACATGGGCCCCTCACTTCAACTCCGATGAAGTGACAGGTGGCAAGGTGACCTCCACTGGGTGTCACCACTGTCACAGGCACTGATTAAGCCAGATCCAACCCCCCCCCGGGGACACACACTCCCCATACCCAGGCCACCAAATCCCTCTGTTGCCCTTCCTGGACAAGAGCACCACATGGTACTCTCCCTCCTGGCCAAGGGTCTGTGCTGCTTCCTGGAGAGGCTCTTCTATTCCCTGGAAGTCTCAGTCACCACCAAGACTTAAGCTGGCATCGAGGCATCAAGGGGTCAATGGTGGGGTAAGGCCTAAAACTACGAAGTGCGGCCTCAACACCTGGAGAAAGCAAGATAATGTGAGCGGCGCGTTCCCCTCCTGACTCTGCTCCTGTGGATGAGGTTCCCAGCCCAAGAGCCTCCTTATCTCAGGGCAGGAACTGTCCCTCCACATCCCCGAGGAGCACGCTTCAGTTTCTGCCACCCTGTGGAATTACGCATATAGTCAGGAATGGAGGGCAGGTTTCCCACTCTCTTGTTATGACAAATCTTGCCCCCCACATCCCCTGCTGACTCACTCTGCTCCCCAGTGGCCCCGCAAGGTGTGCAGCATCCTCCTGCCTGGGTGACTGGTATGAGGACTAACAAATTGCCGTGGTCCTCACCTGTCCAGAGCCAGGTGTTGAGTGTCCACCATCCCCATAACCCTAGGGCAGGACTCCCCACCCTCACCAGCAGAGTAAAGAGGAGGCAATTAAAACAGGCTGCTCTCACCTCCTCCCGCACCCCCAGTCTTCTCTCTCTGCCCACATGAAACACCCCTCCAGCCAGCCCTCTTGCCCTCCTGGCCTTTCTAGACCGCTCGGTGTCTCTGTAAGGCCATAGCTTGCCTGGAGACCCCCGTTCTTCCCGGCACATGCACACAATGCTCATCCCAGTCCACCCACAGAGCCCAGGACTGCATCAGTTTCTGGAGACTGCTGCCATTCCTGCCTGCTCCACGCATTCCAGTGAGGAGTCCTGGTGGAATTTCAGAAAGATTAACTTGGAGGAGCTTGGCGTCATCAGGTAAACCCTTTAAAGGGAGCAGGTGCTTCCTGAAGTCAGAGAGGGATTTCACCCAAGGGAGGTTTCTCCACTGCTGCCTTTGAAGATGGAAGGGCCACAAGGCAAGACGTAGGAGTGGCCTCGAGAAGTGAAGTGCAGCCCCTGGCTGATAGCCAGCAAGGAAATGGAACTGCAGTCCTTCAACCTCAGGGAGGAACCCAGCACCAGGAGGTGAGTTCTGAAGACAGGACTATGCTTAGAAGTGGATGTTCCCCCAGAGCCTCATGAAGAGAATGCATCCTGGCCAGCACGTGGATTTCAGCTGTTGAGACCCTGAGCAGAGATCCCAGCCATACCATGCCTGCCCTCTGCCTTACAGAACTATGAGCTAATCAATGCGTGCTGTTTTAAGCTGTTAAATTTGTGGTAATGTGGAACACAGCGATATAAAACTGATACAAAAACCACATGTTGCCAAATCTTCTGAGTTTTAAAGAGGAGCTGAATATAAGCACTTTAATGAAAAGCTTCCAGTTTTGAAATGTTTGCACTGAACTGAACACTAACCAGCCAACAAACCGATGCAGACCAGCACGACAGCTGTGTACACCCACTTTGAACCTCTCATATATGCAATGAAAAGAAAGCAGACTTGTAGCAGAGAGTTTTTCTTCTTCATGGGAACACATCCCTAGTCTCTAATATGTGCTGCCCTGTGCACGCACATGGGCAGATGGGCACCTGTATAAAAAGCAGCTTCTGTTTCTAAGGAAGGCATAGGCTCAGAGCCTTAGAAGAAAGATGACTGAGACTGCATTTTAAAAAATGAATGCATAGCAAAAAGCCACCAAAAGCAAAGTCAAAAGATAAATGGAAAAAAAAGGAAACATTTATAATCCACATCACAATGAAATGATCAATTTCCTTAATATATACAAAGCCCCTAGGTATCAATAAGAAAACAGAAAAACACCCCATAGAAAAATGAGCAAAGAATATAAATAGAAATATCAAGACCTCAACCTGTCTCACTCATAATAAGGAGCACAGATCACACCATAATGACCACAGCAGGCAGCAGCCCTGGAGGAAGGCCCCCGACCCTGCCTCCTGGTACTGATGCTTTTAGCCAATTGCTTCCCCTGAAATGTGGCTCAACCTGGTGACCTGATTCTCACCAACAGAAGCAAGGCCATGCTGCTTCTATGACTAGTTTACAGAGGACAGTGATGTCTGTCTTGCCAGCAGACTATTTTTCCGTCTTGGACTGTACCCTGATGAGGCAGGCACCATGATGGAGATGTCCACATGGAGAGGACCTGAGGGGGCCTCTGGGCAACAGCAGTGAGGAACTGAGGCTCGCAGTCCAGTATCCACCAGGAATGTCACCCTCTAAGTGAGCTGGGCTAGTGCCACAGCCTCAGGAGAGACCATGAAGCAGAAAAGCCAGCTAAACTTCACCTGGATTCTTTACCCACAGTAACCACGAGATAATACATGCTATCATATGAACCATGTGTGTTTTATTGGGATACATACATGCTTAATATAACGCGTGAGTTTTGGGATAACTTGTTAGGCATCAAGAGAAATTAAATTAATACAATGAAATGCAATTTCCAGCTGGCAGATTACTAAAGATCAAAAAGGTTGAAAAAACCTGTGTTGATGAGTGTTGGGAACAAGCATTTCCCTGTGGTACTGGAGGAAGTACAACATCCTACCACTATGCGGGAGTTCAGTCAGAGTAGTGGGAAAAATTATAAAGATAGTTATAGGAAATAGTCACAAACCTTCTTGGAAGGCCGGGGTGTTGCATAGCTTCAGTAAAAGATTTAGCTGAAGGCAGCCTAATCCTCTTTACCTTGAGTTGATAGCAGAAGAGCAAATAACAAGGGAATGTGGGGGAGTTTATCTAAATAGCTTGTTTACTCATGCGGTCCTAAGACAAACCTTTGATCATCTGTAGGACTGCTCTCTCTGGTGGAGGGCAACCAAATTAATTACCCACAGGTGTGTTGACTCAAAGCCTTTGTCATTTAATCTGTACTAAATAAATATGAATTTCGCCGGCGTATGGGGCGATGCTGCAGACTCAGAGCACAGCCCCTTAGCTGGATTGACAGGCAAAATATCTGTGTCAATGTGTGTCAATGTACATGTCTCATCTGTCACTGGGTCAGGGTCTGTGGGTTGGACCGCCCCCCCGCCCCCCGCCCCGGCCACCGCACCACTAAGCAGATGATTTGGTGATCTCCATCAAAGCCACAAATGCACATGCTCTTTACCCAGCAATTCTACTCGCAACAAGTTATCCTACCAATTTATTCAGAGATGTATACAATGATTTATGTCAAGATGATTCACTGCAACATTTGTTTTTTAAGTGGTTACAGGCTAAATTATGTCCCTGCAAAAATTCGTATGTTGAAGTCCTAACACCCAGTACCTCAGAATGAGACTATAATTAGAGACACAGCCTTTAAGAGGTAATTAAATTAAAATGAGGTCATTAGGGTGGGCCCTAACCCAATCTGATGGGTGTCCTCTTAGGAAGAGGGATTAGGACAGAGACATGCAGAGGAAAGATCACCTGAAGACACGGAGAAAAGGCAGCCGTCTGCAAGCCAAGGAGAGGCCACAGGAGAAACCAATGCTGCCAACACCTTGATCTTGGACTTCCAGCCTCTAGAACTGTGTGAAAATAAATGTCTGTTGTTGAAGCACCCCAGTGTGTGGGACTTTGTTATGGCAGCAGTAGTTGACTGACACAGTTGTTAAACTTCAAAGTACATCAGAAGGGAAATGATTAAGTAAATTTTGGTCTACATCAATCATATGGGCTAATAAATTGTCTACTGAAGATTAACTTGGGTTAAATTTAGTCTCTGTCACCAGAGACTAAAAGAATCTTGCCCAATATATAGAAAAAAAAAATGGCTTTTCAAGAGGACTGCCCGACAACCTTTAAGCTCAACCTTACATGCAGCTGCCTACTCTATAGGTGATGTTCGGCAGTGCCCCGCTCCCTGTCCCCATTTAGTTCCCTCTTACCTGGAAATAGTCCAGAAGCATGCCGGCCCAGGACAGTCCCAGGCCTGCAAACATGAAGGGCACGGTCACCTGAAGGCCTATGGACCAGGTGGTCTCCCTGCTAGGCTCAGTCTCCAGTGGCTTGGGGGTCACGCTTTGGCTCTCAGGGGCCCTGAGAGCTCCATCTTCTGAGGCTACAGGGAGTCCTCCTGTGCTGAGGGGGTGAGGAAGCCCCAGCTCCCCTGGCTTGCCACAGCTGTCCAGCCTCCGCTGCCGGGTCTCTGTCCCATCCATCTGGGCACAGCTGGGCGCCTGGCAGCCCTACAGTGGGAGACACAAAGTTGTAGGGCCAAGTTCCTGATTCCCATGGCGCTAACACCCAAGGAGCCTCAGGCACCTGTCCAGCCCCAGGCCGGCATGGTCCCATCCAACCCACAGCCCTTACTCAGCACCTGCTCCACCAGCCTCCTGCACCCCAATTTACAATAGTTTGTTGTTTAATATGCACATGTGTGAGCACAAAACATACAGAAAAGCACAAACATATATGGGCTAAAGTCAGCAAAAAAGGGCCTCTGAAAATTCTCTCTCCTATAAAAGCAATTTAAAAAAAACCCAGCAAAAACTGTCAAAATCATCTTTTTCAGAACTCTTACTGATACCAAAGGCTCAAGGCATCCAGGAATACCCATTCAAGAAAAATTGCTGACTCTCAGCAAGAAAGATCACTTTGTAACATTCAAGATGCTGGTGACATTCTAACATGCCTGGTCCCACTACCCTCTCCAGCTCTGCCCTAGCCTTGAAAATTGACAGCCTGCAACTGCAGTGAGAGCCAGCAGCCTGAAGGGCATGACAAGGCTGGAGTTCTTACAAGTCCCCATGCCCAAAGAATTATTTTTTGACCCATCTGGAGATCCCTGGAAGACCCCACTTGGAGGGCTGTCTGTATTTAACCCCACTTGGAGTTCACCTGGTGCAAAACCTTTTGCCCTGGGAGAAGTTAGTAGAAAACAATTATAGGCACAGTGGCTACCAGCTGGGGTGAACAACAGACTAATGAAAACACTTAAAAGGAAAAGCTGAGGAAGGGGATGTCAACAGGGGTTTCGAAAAATTCCCGCACACTCTGGGCATCTATTAGGTTGGTGCGAAAGTAATTGCAGTTTTTGCTATTACTTTTGACAGCAAAAACTGCAATTACTTTCGCACCAACCTAATAGGCCACCAATGGATAGTGCCACACCCATGGCTAGGAACACACTCAGGAAATTCCTAGGAAGGCCCCAAGTTTGTACCTCCTGGACACTTTGCACAAGCAGCAGGTAAAGGCTGGGGAGGCTCTGGTGAGCACCGGACTGGATGTACCCAGTGTGCACACAGAGCCACTGGGTAAAGACCAGGAGGCACACTCATTCCCTGCATGGAGTTCCAGGCACGGAGTTCAAGGAAATCTGTAACCGGTCATCAGCTGGCACTGGGCAGAGACTGCCGTGGCCACATACAACAGAGAATGGAGGATGTTTGCAGGATTGGTCCAGAAAAATCACTACGCAAACAACAACAAGCAGCAACAGTAAATCCTGGGAAGGGGGGAATCTCATTTCCACACCTGTCACGTTATATACTGTTAAAGGTCTAGTTTTCAACAATAAAAATGAGACATGCCAAGAAATAAGAAAGTATGGCCCATTAAAAAAAATTAATAGAAACTGTCCCTGAAGGAGGCTAAAACTTTGAATTGGCTGTTTTAAATATGTTCCAAGAACTTAAGAAACCGTACCGGAAGAAGCAAAGAAAAGTTTCAGAATGATGTCTACTTGAATACAGAGTATCAATATAGAGATGAAAATTATTTTTAAAAATAACCAAATAGAAATTCACGAGTTCTAAAGTACAAGAGCTGGAATGTAAAATTCCCTAGAAGAGCAAATGGCTGATCTGAGCAGGGAGAATATAAAGAATTGCTGAACTGAAAGATAAATCAAGAGTGATTATTCAGTATGAAGAACGGAAATGAAAAAGAATAAAGAAAAAGAAACAGGACCTCCGAGAACTATGGAAGAATATCAAGCATAACAATATAAATGTTGAAAAGGGGGAAGGCAGAAAGATATTTGAAAAATAATGGGCAAAAACTTTCCTGATTTCATAAAACATTAATTTCCACATCCATAGAGCTCCACGAATTCCAAGTAGAGTAAACTCCGAGAGAGCACACCAAGACCTGCCAAGAATCTTAGAAGCAGGAAGAGAGCAGCAACTCATGATGTACAAGAGATCCTTTAGAGCAGGGGTCCCCAACCCCCGTTGGGAACTGGGCCACACAGCAGAAGGTGAGCGGCTCCCGGCGAGCATCACTGCCTGATCAGGTTCCCTCTCCTGTCAGATCACCGGCAGCATCAGATCCTCATAGGAGCTCAAACCGTATTGTGAACTGCGCACGCAGGGGATCTAGGTTGTGTGCTCCTTATGAGAATCTAATGCCTAATGAAGAGGTGGAACAGTTTCATCCCCAAACCAGTGCCTCCCCTCCGCCCCAGTCCATCGAAAAATTGTCTTCAACAAAACCAGTCTCTGGTGGCAAAAAGGTTGGGGACCACTGCTCTATAAGATTAACAGCTCATTTTTCATCAGAAATAGAAGCCAGAAGGCAACAGGATGGCATCAAAGTGCTCAAAGAACAAAAGCTGTCACCTAAGAATTCTTAACTAGCAAAATTATCTTTTCAAAGTAAAGGAGAAATTAAGAGATTTTCAGATAAACAGACACAGAGCATTCGTCCCCAGCACACCTGCCCTAAAGGAAACACGAAAGGGAGTCTTTAAGGCCGAATTAGGATCCTAGACACTAGCTAGAATCCACACAGAGGAAGGAAGAGCATCGGCAAAGGTAACCACCTAGACAGATTTTTTTTTTTAAGTATAAACACATTTTTGTTAGTAACTCTTTTTACTCTTATCCAATTTAAAGACAACCACATAAATCAAGTTGGAATTAAGTTGTTATTGATCCAAACACGATTATTATAAACCAAGGTGCTGATTGTAATCCTCAGGGCAACTGCTAAGAAAAAAAAATATAAAAGAAATAACAAGTGAATAAAAGTGATACACTAGGAAAGATCTACTTAGTACAAAACAATGCAGTAATGGGGAAACAGGGAAAAAAGACATTAGACAGACAGAAAACAAATAGCAAAATGGCAGACATAAATCCCATCTTATCAATTATTACATTAAGTATAAATGGATAGGTTGGAAGTAAAAGGATTTAAATAAATATACCATGCAAACAATAACCAAAAGATAACTGGAGTGGCTTTAATACTATTAATAATATCAGGCAAAACAGACATAAAAACAAGAATTCTTACTACAGACAAAGAAGGATATTTGATAATGATAAAAGGGTCAATCTATCAAGAAGCTATAACAATTACAAACGTACATATGCCTAACAACAAAGCCCCCAAATACATAAAAGTGGCAGAACTGAAGGAAGAAAAAGACAATTCAATAATAATAGTTGGACATACCTCACTTCCAACAATTGATAATACAATTTGACAGAATTTCAACAAAAGAAAGAGGACTTCAACAACATTATAAACCAATTAGATCAAACACATCTATACAAAACACTCCGCGCAACAATAGCAGAATACTCAATCTTATCAAGTGCACATGGAACATTTTGCAGGCTTGATCTATCTTAGGAAAAATAACTTCAATAATTTAAGACTGAAATCATACAAAATATGTTTTCCAACCACAACAAAATAAAATTAGAAATCAATAACAGAAGGACATTTAGGAAATTTATAAATATGCGGAAATTAAACAACTTTTTTTTTTTTTTTTGAGATAGGGTCTTATTCTGGCACCCAGGCTGGAGTGCAATGGCATGATCACAGCTCACTGCAGCTTAGACCTCTGGGGCTCATGTAATCCTCCCTTCTCAGCCCCCCAAGTAGCTGGGACTACAGGTGTGTGCCACCATGCCCAGCTAAATTATTTTTTAAAGTTTTGTAGAGATGGGATATCACTGTGTTGCTCAGGCTGGTCTCAAACTCCTGAGCTCAAGTGATCTGCTCACCTCGGCCTCCCAAAGTGCTAGGATTACAGGCATGAGCCACCATGCCCCAGCCCATACTCTTAAATAAGTAATGGGTCAAAGACAAAAATCACAAGATAAATTAGAAATTTCTTTGAGATGAATGAAAATGAAAATACAACATGCCAAAAAATCATGGCATGTGTTAATGTAGTGCTTAGAGGGAAGTTTATAGCTATAACTATCAATTTCTTTAAAAAGAAATGAACAAATTAATAAATCAATTTTCCACCTTAAGATAAAGAGGAGCAAACTAAACCCAAAAAAGTAGAAGGCAGGAATTAATATAGATTAGACTGGTAATAAATGAAAGAGAATTGTAAAAAAAAATAAAAAAAAAAAAAGGCCAGCAAAACCAAAAGTTGGGTCCTTGAAGAGATCGACAAAACTGACAATCCTTTATGTAGACTGATGAAGAAAAAAAGACAGAAGACTCAAATAGTTAAATTAGGAATGAAAGAGGAAACATTACAACCAAAACTAAACATAACTATAAGAGAATATATGATTAACTGTAAGCCAACAAATTGGAAAAGCCACCAGTCAGAATGGCTATTATTAAAAAGTCAAAAAATAACAGATGCTGGTGAGGTTGTAGACAAAAGGGAATGCTTATACACTGCTTGTGGGAATGTAAATTAGTTCAGCCATTGTGGAAAGCAGTGGAGGTGATTTCTCAAAGAACTTAAAACAGAAGTACCATTCAACCCAGCAATCCCATTATTGGGTGTATACCCAAAGAAATATACATCATTCTACCATAAAGACACACGCACAGGTATGTTCATCGCAGCACTATTCACAATAGCAAAGACACAAAATCAGCCTAATGCCTGTCAACAGAAGACTGAATAAAGAATATGTAGTACATATGCCCATGGAACACTATGCAGCCATGAAAAAACAAGATCATGTCATCTGCAGCAACATGGATGGAACTGGAGGCCATAATCCTAAACAACCTAATGCAGAAACAGAAACCCAATACCATGTTTCACTTATAAGTGAGAGCCAAACATTGGGTACACATGCATATAAAGAAGGGAACAACAGACACCAGGGCCTACTTGAGAACAGAGGGTGAGAGGAGAAAGAGGATCAAAAAAACTACCTATCTGGCCAGATGCAGTGGCTCATGCCTGTAATCCCAGCACTTTGGGAGGCCGAGGCAAGCAGATTGCTTGAGCTCAGGAGTTGAAGACCAGCTTAGGCAAGATGGTGAAACCCTCTACAAAAAATACAAAAATTAGCCAGTCATGGTGGAGTGTACCTGTAGTCCCAGCTACTCAGGAGGCTGAGGCAGGTGGCGCTTGAGCGTGGGAGGCGGAGGTTGCAGTGAGCCGAGATTGCACCACTGCACTCCAGCCTGGGTGGCAGAACAAGACCCTGTCTCAGAAAAAAAACAAAAACAAACAAACAAAATCCAAAAAACTACTTATTAGGTACTATGTTTATTACCTGGGTGACAAAATCATCTGTACACCAAACCCCCATGATACCTAATTTATAACAAACCTGCACATGTACCCCTGAACCTAAACGTTAAAAAATAAATAAAGCTAAAAAAATTAGAAAACCTAGATGAAATGTACAAATTCCTAGAAACACAAACTAGTAATACTGACTCGTGAAGAAATAAAAAATATTAATAGATCTACAGATAAAGAGATTGAATTAGTAATCAAAAAACTTCCCACAAAGAAAAGCTTAACACCAGATGGCTTCACTAGAGAAGTCTACCAAGCATTTAAAAAAAAATAACACAAATCCTTCATAAACTCTCAACAACAAATTGGAGAAGGGAACACTTCCCAACCGCTTGTATGAGACCAGTGTAAAGACAACCCAAGAAAGCTACAGACCAATGTGTGTTATGAATACAGACACAAAATCCTCAGCAGAATACTAATAAACTCAAGCCACTAGTACATACAAAGACTTTTACAATATAACCAAGTGGGATTTATTTCAGGAATGCAAAGTTGGTTCAATATATGAAAATCAATGTAATACACCAAATTAATAGAATAATGGGGAGAAAACATAGCTCAACAGACACAGAAAAAGCATTTGGCAACAACTAACACTCTTTCACGATAAAAACACTTTAAAAAGTTAGCTTTGGGTTTCTCATAGATGCCCTTAGTCAGGATGAGGACATTCCCTTCTATTCCTAGACATTAAGACAAGAATTCTTACCACAGACAAAGAAGGATATTTGATAATGATAAGAGGAATAGAAGGGAATGTTCTCATCCTGATTAAGGGCATCTGTGAGAAACCCAAAGCTAACAAACTTAGCGAGAGTCTGAAAGTTTTCCCACTAAGATTAGGAACAAGACAAGAATCCCTGTTTTTGCCAATTCTATTAAACACTGTACCTGAGGTTCTAGCCAGCACAATTCAGCAAGGAAAAGAAATGAGACGTATCCAGCTTGAAAAGGAAGAAGTAAAATTATCCCTGTTTACAGACGACATAATCTTATACGTAAAAAATCATAAGGGATCCACATACACACAAACTATTACAGCCAGTAAACAAGTTCAGCAAGGTGTAGGACTGGAGGACGCAGGTCAATACACGAAAGTCAGTTTTTTTGTTTTGTTGTTGTTTGGGTTTTTGGGTTGTTTGGTTGTTGTTTTTTTTTTGTTGTTTTGAGACAGGCTCTCACTCTGTCACCTAGGCAGGAGTGCAGTGGCACGATCATAGCTCACTGCACCCTCAACTTCCTAGGCTCAAGTAATCCTCCCACCTCAGCTTCCTGCGTAGCTGGGGCTACAGGTATATTCCACCATGCTCAGCTACTATTTTATTTTTTGTAGACAGGGTCTTGCTATGTTGCCCAGGCTGGTCTCAAACTCCTGAGCTCAGGTGATCCTCCCACCTCAGCCTCCTGAGCAGCTGGGACTACAGGCATATTCCACCATGCTTGGCTAGTATTTTATTTTTTGTAGACAGGGTCTTGCTATGTTGCCCAGGCTGGTCTCAAACTCCTGAGCTCAGGTGATCCTCCCACCTCAGCCTCCTGAGCAGCTGGGACTGCAGGTATATGCTATCATGCTTGGCTATAGTTTTTTATTTTTTGTAGAAATGAGGTCTTGCTATGTTGCCCAGGCTGGTCTCAAATTCCTGGGCTCAACTGATCCTCCTGCCTCAGCCTCCCAAAGTGCTAGGATTACAGCTGTGAGCCACTGTATCCGGCCAGTTTTATTTTTATACACTAATAATGAATAATCTAAAAGTAAATAAATAAAACAATTGCATTTGCAATAGAAATGCAAGAAATGAAGAAAACTTCAGAACAAATTTAACAAAAGAAGTCCAAAACTTGTACCCTGAAAACTATAAAACATTGATCTCCAGGTTTAATACAATCCCTATTCAAATTCCAGTGGTCTTTTTTTTTTCTTTCTCCCTCCCTCCCTCCCTTCCTTCTTTCTTTCTTTCTGGAGAAAATGACAAGCTGATTCTAAAATGCAAATGGAAATGCAAGGGAACAGAAAATCCTGAAAAAAAAGAATGAAGTTGGAGAACACAGACTTCCTAATTTCAAAACTTATTGTAAAACTTGGTATTGGCAAAGAATAGAAATATAGATTAACAGAACAGAACTGAGAGTCTATAAATAAATTCATGCATCTATGGCCAATGGATTTCTGACAAAGGTATAAAAACCATTGGATGGGGAAAGAGTAGTGTCTTCAATAAACGGGGCTGGGACAACTGAATAATCACATGCAAAAGAATGAATTTGAACCCCTACCTCAAACCACATACAAAAACTAACTCAAAATGGCTTAAAGAGTTAAACATAAGAGCTAAAACTACCTAAAACACTTAGAATGAAATACAGGTGTAAATCCCAGGGACTTTGGATTAGGCAACAGTTTCTTAGATGTGATATCTGAAGTACAAGCAACCAAAGAAAAAACTGACAAATTGGATTTCATCAAAATTTGAAAGTTGTGTTTCAAAGAACACTCTCAAGAAAGTAAAGACGATCCACAAAATGTGCAAGTATTTGCCAATCATTATATCTAATGAGGGTTTAGTATCCCAAATATATAAAGAATACTTACAATTCAACAATAAAAAGACAATTTAAATGACAAAGGAATTAAACAGACATTTCTCCAAAGATGTACAATGGCCAATAAGCACATGAAACAATGGTTTCACTTAACATTAAAAGATGCTCAGCTTCATTGTTAGAAAAATGCAAATCAAAACCACAGTAAGATACCACCTAACATAATGTTGTCAAGCTTCATCCATGTTGTTACATGAATCAGTACTTCATTCCTTTTTACAGCTGGGTAATATTCAATTACATGGACATATCATATTTTGCTTACCCACTAATGAGTGACAGACATTTGGGTTATTTCCACTTTGGGGCTATTATAAATAATACTCCTATGACTATTCATGTGCAAGTCTTTGTGTGAATATAAGTTTTCTGTTCTACTGAACTGTACATTTAAAAGGGGTGAATTTTATGGTATGAACTTTATATCACAATAAAAAAATTATGAATCATTTATGAGATAATATTAAAGCAAGCACACTTATACTCCCACTAAGTTCAAGAAGCAAAGCATGACCAGCCTCTCCACTCTGAGCCCCTCTCTGATAACAACTCATTCCTCCCCACCCGAGGTGATACTAGCCTCACTCTGGGGATGACCATTCCTCGATCTGTTTTATTTTTTCTTTAGTTTTACAATGTGTGCAGCCCTAAGTGTTACAGCTGAGTTTGGCCTACTTTGCGATTTAGATCAACAAAGTAACACTCCACGGATTCTTTTCATGTCCAGTTTCTTTCAGTTGACATTAGATTTCTGAGATTCAGCCATGCTGCCGAATCTATTTTATTGCTGTAGAAAACTGAACTGTATGACTGCCCCACAATCTCTTCATCTATTCTACAATCAATAAACCACCTCAGCCTCCTTTCCTTTCCAAAATGAAAATAACTGGATTATTTTTCCAATTACAAAAGTGACATGTGTTAATAAAAAATATAATTTAGACAATACAAAATAATATAACGAGGCTGGGCACGATGCTCATGCCTGTAATACCAGCACTTTGGGAGCTAGAGGCAGGTGGATCACTTGAGGCTAGGAGTTTGAGACCAGCTTGGCCAACATGGTGAGACCTCATCTCTATCAAAAAATACAAAAAATTAGCCAGGTGTGGTGATGCACACCTGTAGTCCCAGTTACTCAGGAGGCTGACGCAGGAGAATCACTTGAACCTGGGAGGCGGAAGCTGCAGTGAGCTGAAATCGCACCACTGCACTCCAGCCTAGGGGACAGAGTAAGACTCTGTCTCAAAAATAAATAAATAAATAAATAAAATAACACTTTAAAAATCACTGACAATTTCACTATTCCAAAATAATCAGTGCAAGTCTAGTGTATATCCTTCCAATGTTTACCCACACAGACACAGGCCCACACACTCACTGTTTTTTTTAATCCATGTTCTAGATCCTGGATTTTATTTGATAGAAAGTATACATCTCTGGCCCGTGTTCAGTAAAATGTCTACATGCCTGCTTGTCATCCTTGCTTGTCAATCACAGTTTCAGGTAAGGAATGAGGTGGTAGGCTTATGCCTCCCAACTGCTGGTAAAACATTTTCCCAAGGAATTTATGGATTCAGGAGGAGCTGACGGAAGAACTGAACAGGGATGTGTGCCCCACACTGTGCCTTGCAGCAGGGAGAAGCTGAGAGTCATGGCGCCTCTTGCCTCCTCCGTGCTTCCTTCTCAGGGGCCTGAATGGAGCAGGTGATGAGTTAGCAAAGGAGCCGCCGGCCTGGGCGACTGTGATGTGCAGTGGGGACAGGGCACAGGGAGGCATCTCGAGTTGGCGGCACCCTCGGTGGCAGGAACGGTGCCCCTCATCCAGCCCAGAGAACCTGGGCCCAGGCGGCACCGGTGTGGCTCCAAGAGGCAATAAACAGAGATGGGAACTGCCTACTCCCACCTGCCTCCCACCTCCCTGAAGGACCTGCAGGGGCCCAATGCCAGGGGCAGAAAATGCCTCCCTCTCACCACACCAGGCCCCTCCAACTCTCCACCCCACTCCCACAGGCAGGAATGGCCACTCTCCTGGCTAGGCAAGGCCACTGCTGCATCCCTTAGGTCCTAACAGCAGAACCCATTCCACCTTCCTCATGACCTTCTCGTCCTCAACCTTCCAGCCTGACCCCTCAGGCCAGACCAGCCATTTTCTTTAAATTCCTATCACATCCTCTGTAGCAATGCTGGTAAAACTGAGCCAGGCTCACACTGGAAGCCTGGAGATCATGGAGAGACAGCTAGTGGAGAAGAAAGGAGAGGAGGAGGACTTGGACCCTGCCCACACTGGGAGGAACCCGTACCACACAGAGCTGAGCTATCGGCCGGCTCTCCAGGCCCCACTCTGCTTCTCTGGGTGGAAGCCCCAGAACCATGAGGAGGAAGGATGCTTGGCAGAACAGGGTGGGGATCATGGGGTCCCTGCAATGCCAGATCCCTAATCTTTTCAAAAAATAACAGACACAGCTACCGATGACCTATGCAGTATGCCTTTACCTCCTTTAATCCTTACGGGACTGTGGGAAGGCTAGACTATTAACGATCACTTTACGCAGAAGAGGAAACAGAGAATTAAAAGAGCACCAGAAAGGCCAGTGTCTCCCCTAGGCCTGGGACCCTACCAGGGTCCTCTCAAGGGGTCGCACCTACAAGGAACCCCTCTCTCCTGCCTCCTCAGTTTCTCCCCTCTACCTCTGTGGGATCATCTGATGAGAACAGAAACTTGCTCTAGGATCTGCCTCTATAAACCCAGCCTTGACGTCAAGCTATCTCTCACTTCATTCCCCTCCTCCTCTTCATGGCAAAACTATACAAAGAATCATGCCCACAGTGTGTTCTCACCTCCCCTCCTCTTCTCCTGATGCAAACTGTTCTTGCCAAGGCCAGTGGTCACCCGAGCAATGCTACAGGCACCCAGACGCCCAAGGCTTATGGACAGGAACAAAGAGAGGTGGTTAACTTTTCCCAGCTCCCTCTGCCAGAAAGGCAGGGCTTGGATGTCCTGAGCAACCAGGGAAGTGGACAGCCAGAAAAAAATTTGAACCTAAATCAGGGATTTAAACTCCTTAAGGTAAGGGAAACACACACACACACACACACACACACACCCACACACGATCAGGGATTTAAATTCCTTAAGGGTAAGGGACACACACACACACACACACACACACAATAGAAAGCAAAAACCAAAGGGGAAAAATGATTAATTTAGCTACATCAAAGTTTAAATATTCTGTAGGACAAAACTTCTAAATAAAATTTAAAAGCAAGCAAAAGCCTAGGAGAAAATAGTTGGACCCAATACAAGAGACAAAGGATAAGTGTGCAAAAAGAATGAAGAACTCCTACAGAGAAAACCATGGAGAAACTGACACAGGATGGGAACAAGAGCTCAGCTGGAGAAACACAAAGGCAGCCTAGACAGCCACCTGAGAAGAGGTTAGGGAAATAAAAATGAAAGCCGATGGAAAGATACATTATGTTTGAGGAATGGAAGAATTTCAATGAAAATGACAATTTTACCCAACGCAATTTACAGATTCAATGCAATCACTACCAAAATACCAATGTCATTCTTCACAGAAATAGAAAAAACAATTCTAAAATTTATATGTAACTACAATAGACCCCAAATAGCCAAAGCAATCCTGAGCAAAAAGAATAAAGCTTGAAGCATCATAGTGACTTCAAAATATACTACAAAGCTGTAGTAACCAAATCAGCATGGTACTGGCAGACACATAAGCCAATGGACAGAAGAGAGAACCTAGATATAAATCCACACACTTATAGCCAACTCATTTTTGACAAATGCACAAGGAACATACTCTGGGGAAAGGACAGTCTCCTCAATAGATGGACTGGAAAAACAGGATATCCATATACAGAAGAATGAAACTAGACCCCTATTTCTCACTATATTAAAAAATCACATCAAAACAGATTAAAGGCTTATATGATTTAAAACCATGAAACTACTAGTAGAAAATATTGGGGAAATTTTGCAGGACATTGGTCTGGGCAGACTTTTTGTGTAAGACCTCAAAAACACAGGCAACCAAAGCAAAAATAGACAAATGGGATTACATCAAGCTAAAAAGTTTCTGCACAGCAAAGGAAACAACAAAGTGAAAAAATAACCCACAGAATGGAAGAAAATATCTGAAACCACTCATCTCACAAGGGATTAATAACCAGAATATATAGTACCAGGAATTCAAACAACTCAATATAAAAAAAATCCAATTAAAATATGGCCAAAAGATCTGAATAGATATTTCTCAAAAGAAGACATAAATGGCTCACATATATGCAAAAAGTACTCAACATCACTAATCATGAGAGAAATGCAAGTCAAAGCCACAATGAGATATTATCCCACCCCATTTTAAATGGCTTTTATAAAAAAGACAGGGAATAATGGACACTGGTAAGGATGTGGAGAAAGTGTTCCTCGTACACTGTTAGTGGGAATGTAAACTAGTTCAGCCACTATGGAGAACAGTATGGAAGTTCCTTTAAAAACTAAAAGCAAGCCAGATGCAGTGGCTCAAGCCTGTAATCCCAGCACTTTGGGAGGCCAAGGTGGGAGAATAACTTGAGGCCAGGAGCTTGAGACCAGCCTGGCCAACATGCCAAAACCCCATCTCTACTAAAATACAAAAAATTAGCTGGGTGTGGTGACACACGCCTGTAGTTCCAGCTACTTGGGAGGCTGAGGCATGAGAGTCACTTGAACCCAGGAGGTGGAGGTTGTGGTGAGCTGAGATTGTGCCACTGCACTCTAGCCTGGGCAACAGAGCGAGATTCCATCTCTGAAAAAAAAAAACAAACTAAAAACAGAACTACCATATGATCCGGCAATCCCACTAATGGGTACATATCCAAAAGAAAGGAAACCAGGATATTGAAGAGATATCTGTACCCCATGTTTCTTGCAGCACTATTCACAATAGCTAAGATATGGATCAACCTAAGTTTCCATACCAGATGAAAGGATAAAGAAGATGCGGTACATATACACAATGGAGTACTATTCAGCCATAAAGAAGAATGAGATCCTGTCATCTGCAACAATATAGATGGAACTGGAGGTCATTACATTCAGTGAAATAAGCCGTGGACAGAAAGACAAACATCACATGGCCTCACTCATATGTGAGCGCTGAAGGAGGGGATCTCAAGGAGGTAGAAAGTTCAATGGTTACCAAAGCCTGTGGCGGGACAGGGGGAAAAAGGGAGGATGGTTAATGGCTAGAAATACACAGTTTGATGGAAGAAATAAGAAATCGTGTTTGATGAATCAATACAGTGACTATAGTTTACAATAATCTATTTTATATTTCGGAATAGCTAGAATTCAAATGTTTCTGGAATAAAAGACCAATCTCTAAAATGATGGATGTCTATATTGCACTGATTTGATCTTTACAAGTTACATGAACGTGTTAAATTATCACAGGCAACTCAAAAATATGTACATCTATTATGTGTCAATAAAATTTTTTTAATATAAATAAATGAACCTGGTGTGATGCACCTCACCTCACCACCACTAGGGCAAGGGGTGGGGAGAAGGGCCTGGAACACAGCCACAGGGCTCTGGGTCTGCCTCTGCCAGAGGCAACTGGGCAGTGACCACTCCAGGCCACACATCCTCACTCAGCCACAGTCTTGGTGAGTCACTCACACGCGTGCCTGAGGAGGTTAACCCAAGAGTGCGCAGCCACTGTGCTTGGTGACAGCAAACACCAGAGCGGCAGGTGCTGGCGCAGCCCTGATCCGTGATTCATGCTGGGAACACGTGTGCAGCTGTACCTAGAGAGCCCCAGCCCTGGTCCACCCTCACTGTGCCTGCACATGGTGCCAGAGGAAGGCCTGGCCAGGGTGACCCGGGAGCAGGGCCCAGCTGGTGTCAGCACCACACCTGCTCTGTGCCCCTTGCAGGGTGGGGGATCTCCCAGCTGTGGACATGGCCAAAGGCCCCTCAGCTCCACCTGAATGTTGGAGTGTTTGCAAGGAGAACATGCTCCAATGTCCCTGTGTCACTGACAGCTCGTGCAGATGAACAACCAAGCACAGGCTGGAGGAGGCTCCTGTGGGAAAGTGGGCTGTGGGCCAGGAAACCTCTAATCCCAGAGCCCCAGGGAGGAGCCAAGATGCCAGAAGATGCCAGTGGAGGCATTGCCTCCAAGGTCCCCACAGAGGACATTGGGCAATGTCTGCACATGGTTTTGGTTGTCCCGACAGGGGGTGATACAGGACAGCCCCCCAAAACAAAGAACTGCCCCACCCCAAATGTCAGTAGTGTGGAGGCCGAGAAACCCTGCTATGGGGCAGTGGTCAGAGACCCTTGTGCCTTGAAAGGGGCTAGGCTGGGCAGGACAGGTTGTGGACCACCTGGGGCCACAGTTCAGAGCCACGCCTGAGTCTGTGAGGCTGCCCACCCTCCCAGCTGCCAGCATGGGGTTGGGGGGTATCCGCCCCCATCAGACTGAGGAGGAAACGGACACTCTGTCACCCAGAAGCATCCCTGTGTCACCCTGTGAGGTTGGCCTTGGACCCAGGCCTCTAGGCGCCCCGTCAGCACCCCAGTGCGAACACATCCTGCCCGGGGACCTGGACCCAGCAGCTCACACAGACCAGGGCTCGCCCAAAGGCAGGCAGGCAGGGCCACTGCTGACCACGCACCTGGCTGGTCGTGATTCTGGAACTAATGGTTTCTGCCTGGCAGGGAGGCCGCCAGGACCTCTGGGCTTCACCCCTCCCCACCTTCACAGGGGACCTCGCCTCAGTGGGAATGTTCTGGAGCCGGAACCCAAGGTTGGAATCCCAGCTCCTCCCCTTTCTAGGTCTGTGACCTTGGAAAAATTAAACTTTCTGTACCTCTGTTGCCTAATCTGTGAAATGGGGTAATACTACCTACTGTGTAGGGCTGTGAAGATTAAATGGAGTCATGCATTATCATCACAGGGCACCTGGCCCATCCTCAACCCCAGTTCAGACTCCTCAAAGCCCTAAGGTTTCAGATCAATGGTCAGAACCACGAGGAGGACCTGCTAAAGACAAGTATGGGGACCCACCCCCAAGGTTTAGGATTTAGAAGGTCAGGGTGGGGCTGGGGAACCCGCATTTCTAGCAGATCTCAGGAAAGGCAGTGCTGCTGGTCCTGGGACCACAGTTTGAAAACCACTGGTGTAAAAAAAGCCTTCTAAAAAAAAGTGGGATTTGATCACTAAAGTCATATGGAAAAAACTGGAAGAAAGAGGAAAAAATAAACAAATAAATAACGGGATTTTAAAGAGACCTATCCCACCGGCTCTCCTGGATGGAGAGAGTGTGGGACTCTGAGACAGACTCCCGGCTGGGCACCCCCAGGAGGTTTTCTTCACCAGAGGTTTGCACCGAGCCCACCCAGGACAGTGGGCTGAGCCTGTGGTAGAGGCTGGCGGGAGGTCTGGCTGAGGCAGCGAGGGGTCCCTGCGCGCGGGCGCTGCAGGAGTCACGCGTGTGACATCCAACCAGGAGCCGTGCCCTGAGCAGGCCAGGAAGGAGGAGACAGGGCCGCTGAATGCACACCGCAGCGGTGTGGGGAGCGGCCTCAGACACCTAAGGGTAGGACCGGCCGGCTCCCCCGCGACCCCCAGCGCCTGGGTTCTCTCCCGGCCTCCCCGAGGCGTGGCCTACCCCAGGCATGGCCCCACCCCGCCCCAGGCCGCCCCTCCGACCCCTCGTGTTTACCTCATCTCCCGCGCGCCTTTCCCCCACCGAGTCCCCCAAATCCCGGTCCCCACCTGACTCCCCCTCCCGCCGAGCCCCCAGGGCCCGGCGCCCGGCTCACTCGCCTCCCGCGCACCCACTCCCGGGCGCCCTCTCCCGCGCGCCTCCCCGACCCCCCTTGGGCCCCAGCTGACCCCACCTTCCGCCCCAACCCCGCCCGGAACAGGGCCGCGCTTACCGGGTCCCCTCCCAGGCGGCGGCGGGAAAGAGGCGGGCGGAGGACGCAGGGGCGGGCCTGCGGCTCAGGCAGGAAGCGGGAAGGCCGGGCCTCCCTGGCCCCGCCCCGGCCGGGCGGCCGGACCTCGGACGACTTGGCGCTCCGGGACAGCAGCAGACGCCCAAGCTCCGGCAGCGCAGAGCCCCGCCGGGGGCCCGGGGGGCTGGGAGCCGGGGATCGCGGGGACGGAAGTGGGGGACCGAGTCTCGCGAGCCCGGGCCCTCCTCGCAGCTGGGGCCCCACTGGCGCCCCCGCGGGAGCGCTACGGGAGAGGCGCCTATGCGGCTGCAGGTTTTATTATGGAGCTGTCAAGGTAGAAAGGTACGGAGAACGGGAACCCACCGACAGCCAACTTCCCTTGGGACCCGCCTTTTGCTTTAAAAACAACAACGACAAGTCTGTGCTTCACCCCACACATGCCTTTCGTTTTCCCTTTTTTCCCAGAGTAATTTTAAAGCATCCCAGTGGATAAATTCTCCTTTAAATACTCGAGTATGTTTAATCAGTAAGGCCTATTTTTTTAAACATTCTCATAGTATTACGGTCACACCTAACGAAATTGGCAATTCCCAGTCCGGGCCTGAGGGAGGCCTGATGGTTCACAAGACTTGGTAAAATATATCATTATATTTTAAACCAAAAAATAAATGATAAGGCACCTCCCCGTTCCCAACCACCAAATCATCCGAATGGACTTCTTCCTCAGCCAGGACTTTTAGAATTTAACCTGAAAAACTGGTTCAGGCCATAAGGGGAAGTGGAGGCCGAACATGCCTCATTATCCCTCTCCTGCATTAACATCAACACAGACTTTAAGTCTGATAAGAAACATTTTACAGCCTCTTCTCTCTGAAGCCTGCTACCCTATCCGAATACTTCATCTGCGTGATAAAACACATTGGTCTCCACAACCTCTTAACCCAGACATTCCTTTCTTTAATCCCAGGTCTTTGGACAAACTCAACCAATTGTCAACCAGAAAATGTTTAAGTTGACCTATACCCTAGAACCACCCTCCCCCTCTTTGAGTTTTCCTGCCTTTCTGGATCAAACAAATTTATTTCTTAAATGAACTTAACTTGAAGTCTCATGCCTCCTCAGAATGTATTAAACCAAGCTGCACCCCGACCTCCTTGGGCACATGTTCTCAAGACCTCCTGAAGGCTGTGTCACTGGCTGTGGTCACTCATATTTGGCTCACAATAAATCTCTTCAAATATTTTACAGAGTTTGACTCTTCCACAATAATTTGGCACCCAGCGTGGGGCCTCAGAGAAGACTCAGGACCCCAAAGGAGTTGCCTGAACTCGGAGCGAAGATACCAGTGGGGCCCATTGAAGCCTCCCAGACTTCTAGCTTCTCCCCCGATGGAACTGGTTAAGTTCTCCTGAGCCCCAGATCGCCCTTTGGTTGACAGTCCTTCGTTTAGTGTGAGCTGGTTTTTCTCCTAGGAAGTTGTTGTTTAAGGATTCTAATTCTAGTTCAGAGACACATTCTAAAGGGTTTTCTTTATTGCTTTTTCTCCCAAAATTAATCTTGATTCGGCTTGTCTGCGCATTTGTGTGAGGAATTGAACTGTTGTTTTCATAGGTAAATGAGAGACTGAGTTTTCTCAACTCCAAAGAGAAAGGCATTTGCTCCTCCCAGCCAAAACGTGCTCCTGGGTGACTGGGGGCCTTGTGGGAGTGTCTGGGGGGGGGTTGACATCCTGTGACATGCAGCAGCCCTATGGGGAAATCCCCAACAAAAATTAATTTTAAAAATGGCTTGTCCAGGAATGCATATAAGGACTGATCACCCATCATTTTGAGCCCTCTCAAAGGTAATAGACCTCTGGAGAGAGAAACTGAGACATGTAACAGGGTGGAAACAACTCAGTGGTGACACATGGTGGGGTCCTGCCCACAAGCAGCACACATTGATCCACCACACAAAAACCCTAGGCCACAGCTCAGTTCCTACTTCTAAGAAAAAAAAAGGTGGGAAACAAATGATCTAAGAATGAGGAGAAAACAAGGAGAATGACCTCATTTCGGGCACTCTGTTGGTTTTATGGTGCGTCTACTTGCCAGAGCTTATGTAAAATGGAAATATAATGATCCTTGTGCACATTTACATTAAGGAAAAGAGCCCTAAGGTCAACCTGTACACTATAGAGTTCCTAAGTTCTCTTCTTCTCTATATTTTCTGCCTGCTTTAAATCTGCTTTTACTTTTGTACTGAAATTAAAAACCACTGTTTGGATCTAACCTATTTTTCTTTTTCTTTGTTTTCTTGTTTTTTTTTTTTTTTTTTTTTTTTTTTTTGCAAGCTGGGGAATTTGTATTTATCTCATGGCTAAAGTTCTGAAGTAAAAGCTATAGGATCTGTGTGTGTGTGTGTGTGTGTGTGTGTGTGTGTGTGTGTGTATTTAAAAGGATTTTATAATAGACTTCTATAATTTTGTTTAAATGGCAAATTAAATCCATTTTAATTTCCCTCTAGCAAACCAGACTGTCTCTTGGTACTTTGAGATGTAAATTTTGCTATCTGATTTTTCACCTAAGAGTTGTTTCCTTTAATATGCAAATGTAGGACTATTTAGCTGACAACTGCCCAGGGTGATGAAACAGGCTATCATGAATTTAAAAGTCTAAGGGAAAAAGAGGTCTTACAAATACATAAGATGTACTTCTATTGCCATGCCTAATACGCTATGCATTTATGTGTTGTGTACACAATGTGTCACTACTAAAAATATGTAAAAGAGCTCTAATTAGCTTAAGTAAAAATAAAAGCACTTAAATACTTGATCAAAAAATACTAATCAATGCTTTTCAAGTTCACGTGACAAGTAAAATATTTAATAAATAAACTGTCTTTAAAATCATTGGTAAAAAAAATTAAAATGTTCTAAGAATTGTTAGTATTTTTGTTTGCATTTATTGATCAAGTAGCTTCATGCTTATTCCTTCAGAATACTATAAGATTAGCCATAGGGTTATAAAACTATAAAACCCAGCCCAAGACAGAATGATCTTTGCTTGTATAATTTTTGATAAATAAGACATGGAATATGGTTGGTTTAATGAAAACAGCTAAATCATGAGTTACTGGAAAAAATACTCTTATATTTAATCATAAGTTCATTATTGAAGTAAACACCTGAAATTCACAGCTATAAAAATGGTTAACAGGGAAATAACTTCAATAATGACTGTCACAGTTTTTGTTAATAATCCAGGTAAACAAATAAATTAATCAGGTAAAGGTAATGGAATAAGTGTTTGTAAACAAACGTCATATAATTTAGGACCTCAGGTTATTAATAAGTATTAAGTATCTGGGTAATTTCCAATTTAAAAATTATAGAAAAACTTTTTTTTAAATGGTAAATATCTTTTTCTAATTCAAAGCTTATTTAAAGGTTATGTATAAAACAAGGTAAAAGGAACTAGGAAATAAGAGATGTAGAGAAACATAAGACATAAAGAGGTAATTTTTGGTAAAGAAGGTAAAAAGGAAAGTGATACTATATAAGAAAGAATCTTGTGTAGCGAATTTTTGTCCTAAAATAAAATGACTAGGTTGTTCAAGAAAGATATTTAGGACAGAACAGAAAATTTAAGCATGTTGTGAATGGTCTATGTAAGTTGTAATAAGGTTAGTAAAAGGAATTTGTTTAAAAAAAAAAAGATTGTATAATGCAGTTGGCTATGATTAAGAAGAAATTATAGTAGTCTTTCTAGAGATGGGTCTTTGATATTTAAAAAATACACTAATACAAAACTAAATAATTGGCTAAAACAGTATTTTATTACAAATATTGACTTATTTTTAATGTAATAAGTTTTAAATTTATAAACTCTATAATCTGTCTCTTTGACATTCTGCAGATTGATATCTCACAAGCTCAGCTCTTTCTCTTTTGAAATGGCCTTAGATAATAGATCTCTCCTTCACCTTTTGTTGGTTCCTGTAACTTAATAATAGTTATAGGATAATTAACAAAATTATCTGAAGGGAGATAATTTTTTTTTGAAAACAGGCCAATAAAATTAGATCTTGTAGACCTTTTAATTCTGCATGCCTGTTATATCTTTATCTGTGTCATGTGGAAGTGATATTTCACTACCAAACTACATGAAAGAGCTCTAACCTAGTAACTTTAAAAATGTAAGTGCTTATCAGATTGGTAGATGCTAGCTCAGATGACTTTTAATTCACATGATCTTGGTAATCTTTGGTAAAAGTAATTTGGCAAATTTAATCTCAAAACTCTCTAGTAATTTAAAATCTTAAAGTCATGTTAAAACCTCAGTTTTTATCACTGGAAATTTTGAATTACTAAAAGTTAAAATAGGAGCATAAAATATGTTTTTGGTGAAGTTTATAAAACACAAGGATGTTGATTTTGCCAGAAAAGGAAAGTAGGTTTTTCTTCGCTAGTTAAAAAACTACTTAAGAGTTGCTTTAGAATGAAGAAAAAAATATATACAGATAAAACTAAATAGAACAATTAAGCCAGAGCAACAAAAGTTAACTCAGACCTGTGGCTATCAAAAAGATAGTCAATGTGGGGGAAGGGCAAAACTATTTAAAACCAGAGGGTATAATATAAAGAAATTGTTTCATTTTGTAGATTTGTATCATCAGCTTCTTAAAAAAATGTATAGCGGATTGTAAAAATAACCACTTTAAGGACAAAATCCTTAATTTTAAATGCTACAGAAATTAAGAGCTTGTTTGGGTTGATGCAGCACCCCACAGCTCACTATTGAACAATCACTAATGAGTATATATGATCCAAATGCAGAAGAGGTCATTCCTGAGAGAACAGTTAGTCTAGTGGACCAGATAAATGCCACCATAATGTCTGGTTGCCCTGAGAAGGGGACTGCCCAGCTCTCTGTATAAAATACCAAGTGAAACAAGCACCTCAGATGAAGCAGTTAATATGCTTCATGTGCAAGCCATATAACTGGATTTAGGATAACTGGTATATCCTTCCACCAAATATGCCTATTACCGAAGTCATGGTAAATTTGGGGGTTGAGGGGGTCCCTTTTACATGGTTGCCCCTCCCACAGAATCATAACGACTGCTTGAGAAGCCTTATCAAATTTGCTATCCCTCATGAGTTTTGCAGATGCAGCTTGCTGCTAGGAACCCAAACCTTTTTTCACCAGAAAAGGTAAAATGGTCTTGGGGTAGAAAAAGGTTCCTGGGACCAGGACATAAAAACATACAGGTTAATAAAATAATGAAATGTAAGATGTTTAAACAAACTTTATGTAAGGTAGTTGTAACACCTTTTACCTAAATGTCTTATGAAAATGGGTACTGCATTTGACTGAGGGATGTTTCCCCTTTCTAGTGCTATAAAACTAAGGGCATGTAAATCTGCTCTTTTGAGAAATTGGACACACCAAATGGGAACTAGTAAGGTTTTCTGAACCCACATACTATAGGGTAGAAGCTGGAATACTAGTCAGGACAAATCCTCCACTTCATATCGTTTGTGGAACATTTACTGGGGCTGATGGCAAAAGACTGAGTACTTCCCAATGACAAAAACTAAACTAGAGAATTTCCAGTTGAGGGCCATTTACTGCCTTAATCTGGAATGTTAATTGAAGCTATCCCTATGTTAATGGAAACAATGGTGCCCAAAAGAGTTCCATAATAAAATAAAAATGGTTTACATAGAATCTTGCTACCTGGGAATATAAGGAGGAGATACTGATAAACAAGGAGCCCTTTCTTAGGACTAATTCTAACTCTGGGAGGAGTTGCTGGATTCCACAGTGCCTGATAGACAGCTCTCATGAGCTGCTTGGCTTGTGAATGGTATTTCCGAGGTAAATAGACATCTCATTTAAAAGATGCTGCTCTAGTTAAAGAAGGTCAAGAAAATCTTTTTTTTTTTTTTTTTTTTTTTTTAGTTATTTGAGTGAAGTATGTTTTTTAAGCAAATGTACCTTTCTCTCTAAGTTCTCCAAAATCTGGATTGTGGTTTTATGACAATATAGTTATTTGTGTAAGTTCAATAAAAGTCTTTTAAAACAGAACAGTTGGAGACAATGGTTAATGTACAAAGACTTTAACTAAAATAGTATATTTTTAGGTAAAGTTCCAGCAAAGCCAACTTAGAAGGAGCCTATGTGGCTAATCAATTTTTGCTGAATTTTATGCAAATAATCAGGACAAGTATAATGAGCCTAGAACTTACTTTACACAGAAATTGGTCTTACTATAATTTCTCTTTAGTAGAAAAGAAAGGAGCTAAAAAATGGTTTTAAAGGAAAAGTGTAACACTTGGCAGTAGATTTTGACCATAATTTTTGTTTTTTAAAGTGTAGATTAAATCATGAATTATTTCTTGGCTACAATAATCCTATAGAGAGTACCAGGTTATAATTTTTCTTCATATTTTTAATTGGTGCCCTAATTGAATAGGCTCCTTTTTCTGTTCTGACACACAAATTACTCTTATAATTGTCAAACTATAAATGTTATTTCTCTCTCCTTGTTTTACTTCCAAGGAAACCAAAATCATGGTATTCTGAAGGCCAGAGATGAGTCCCTCGTTTAGCATCCCACTGGGCCCAGACCTGTTTCACTACAAATGCTCTGCTGCTGAAACTATAAAAGCACCCTCCCTCTAGGCCTAGCAGCTATTGAGGAAGAGTGGGGCATGTGAGATTGTAAGGGCCAATTTTGAGGGATAAAATTAAGTCAAGGTCAAACCCTCCAAGTCAATAACAGATACGAAGATGCCCTCTTCCGGCCTTTATCCCCTGCTTGTCATGGAGTGAGGGGCCATGTTCTCTGGGAGCCTCTGCATGGTACCCCAGCTGCCTAGGACCTGAGAGGTCCAGTGGCTCCAATCCCCTTCTAGGATGTGTGCCCAGATCAGCACACACCTACAAAGGCAGGTTGGGGCATTGCTGTCTCTTCTCACAGGGCCACATGGAACTCCAAGGAGTCCAAGAAGTCTACATTTGAACTTGGCCTTACAGATCTCTATGAAGGTACATTTGTCAAGGCCAGAAGATAGACTCCATTTTACAGTTGTTTGGTTTTATTTATAATGTAGACCAAAAAGTATCTGAGACAGGTCTCAATCAGTTAGAAGCTTATTTTGCCAAGGTTAAAGACATGCTCATGACACAGCCTCAGGAGGTCCTGAGAACGTGTGCCTTAGGTGGTCTGGCTACAGCTTGGTTTTATACATTTTAGGGAAACAAAAGACAACACATGAAAGATTTACATTGGTCAGGCCCAGAAAGGAGAGACAACTGGAAGTGGGCAGGAGGGGTCGGGGTGGAGGGAGAGGCTTCCAGGTCACAGGTGAATTCAAAGACGTCCTGACTGGAAATTGGTTGAAAAAGTTTATCTGAAGACCTGGAATCAACAGAAGGGAGTGTCTAGGTTGAAATAGGGGTTGTGGAGGCCAAGGTTTTTTTATGCAGATGAAGCCTCCAGGTAGCAGGCTTCAGAGAGAGTAGATTGTAAATGTTTCTTATCAGACTTAAAAAGTTGTCAGACTCTTAGTTAATTCTTTCCTGGATCAGGAAAAAGACATGGAAAGGGAAGGGGATTCTCTACAGAATGTAGATTTCCTCACTAGAGACAGCTTTGCAGGGCCACTTCAAAATATGTCAAAGAAATACATTTGGGGGTAAAATACTTTGATTTATTTTATGGCCTGCTATCTGTCATGTTGGTGTCTTATTGCTACAAAGAGTCTGCTCTGTCAATCTGAAGGTCTTTGTGTTGATGTTAATGCTGGTCAGCTGTGCCTGAATCCAAACAGAGGGGTGTATAATGAGGCACATCCAACTCTCCTCCTTCCCCATCATGGCCTGAACTACTTTTTCAGGTTAATTTCAGGTCCTTGGCCAAGAGGAGGGATCCATTTGTTACCCATGAAAGAGATCTGAGTTACCCTGAGTTACTGGCAGCAAATTTATACTGGTCCTGCTGGGAACAGGCCCCCCAAAACCTGGCCATAAACTGGCCCCAAAAGTGGCCATAAACAAAATCTCTGCAGCACTGTGACATGCTTTTGATGGCCATAACGCCCACACTGGAAGGTTGTGGGTTTACCGGAATGAGGGCAAGGAACACCTGGCCCACCCAGGGTGGAAAACCATTTAAAGGCCTTCTTAAACCACAAACAATAGCATGAGCAATCTGTGCCTTAAGGGCATGTTCCTGCTGCAGATAACTAGCCAGACCTACCCCTTTATTTCGGCCCATCCCTTCATTTCCCATAAGGGATACTTTTAGTTAATATATCTATAGAAACAATGCTAATGACTGGCTTGCTGCTAATAAATACGTGGGTAAATCTGTGTTCGGGGCTCTCAGCTCTGAAGGCTGTGAGACCCCTGATTTCCCACTTCACACCTCTATATTTGTGTGTGTGTGTGTGTTTAATTCCTCCAGCGCCGCTGGGTTAGAGTCTCCCCGACTGAGCTGGTCACGGCAAGTGGCGTCCATTGTGGGGGCTCAAATCCAGGTTGAAGGGTTGCCAGAGTGACGGTTGGAGAACGTGGAGAACTAAGCTGGAGGACACCCGAGTACTCTTAAAGCAATCCCCATGGTGAGTAAGAAGGGGAGCTCAGAAGCATCAGGGTAACAATGGGACAAGTGTGGAGTCTGGTTCATTCCACCTTGGAACTTTTTCACACTGATGATGAGGAAGAAGGAGAGTGTAACGAAGTAACAGTAGAGGTTACAGAGCAGGTTTGTTTGCCAGCTAAAGCTAAAGCAGCAAAGGAGGGAGAGGTTCATCCCTACCCTTCTGCACCCCCTGCTTATTATTTTGAAGAAAAAGACCCTCCAGATCTTTCTTTTCTGCAGGATACTGGGTGAAAAGTAGTTGCCCCAGTGACTGTTCGAGCAGCACCTCAAGCGACCGCTTTCAGTTCTATTTAGGCAAGAATCCAGCAAGCTAGAAGAGAGGGTGATATAGAGGCTTGGCAGTTCCCTGTTAGAATACACCCTCCAGATCAACAGGGAAATATAGCTACATTTGAGCCTTTTCCTTTTAAATTACTCAAAGAATTTAAACAAGCTATTCATACTAAAAAAGAATGTAGAAATAATCAGCGAGTCAGGCTGCCAGATAGGGGAAAAAAGAAAACTGCTGAGTCTGAAATATGTCCAAAATATAAAAAAGGAAAACATTGGGCTAATCAGTGTAACTCTAGGTTTGATAAAGATGGGAACCCGATTTTGGGAAATGCCATGAGGGGCCTGTCCTGGGCCCCATTCCAAACCAGGGCATTTCCAGCTCAGGCCATTCCCTCACCCCTGTACAATGTCTTTCCCCTACCACAGCCGGTAGTGCTGCAGTAGATTTATGCTGTACAAAAGCTGTGAGCCTTCTGCCTGGGGAACCCCCACAAAAGGTCCCAACAGGAGTCTGTGGACCCTTGCCATCAGGGACAATAGGATTACTTTTAGGAAGGTCTAGTTTAAATTTAAAAGGGGTACAAATACAAACAGGAGTCATTGATTTAGATTACAATGGGGAAATTCAAATTGTTATATCTACTTCTGTTCCCTGGAAAGCAGAGCCAGGAGAGCACATAGCACAGCTCCTGATTGTGCCATATGTGGGAATGGGAAAAAGTGAAATTAAATGAACAGGAGGATTTGGAAACACAAATAAAGAAGGCAAAGCAGCTTAATGGGTAAATCAAATTACTGATAAACATCCTACATGTGAAATAACTATTCAGGGAAAGAAATTTAAAGATTTGGTAGATACAGGAGTGGACATTTCGATCATTTCTCTACAGCACTGGCCGTCTGCGTGGCCAATTCAACCTGCTCAATTTAACATAGTTAGAGTTGGCAAAGCCCTTGAAGTATATCAAAGTAGTTATATTTTGCATTGTGAAGGGCCTGATGGACAACCTGGGACCATTCAACCAATTATAACTTCTGTACCTATAAATTTATAGGGGAGAGATTTATTACAACAATGGGGAGCACAAGTTCTAATTCCAGAACAATTATATAGCCCTCAAAGTCAACATATGATGCATGAAATGGGGTATGTCCCTGGTATGGGACTAGAAAAAAGTTTGCAAGATTTGAAAGAACTGCTTCAAGTGGAAAGACAAAGTTCCCACCAAAGATTAGGATATCATTCTTGATGGCGGCCATTGTTAAGCCTCCAGAACCTATACCTTTAAAATGGTTAACAGATAAGCCAATTTGGATAGAACAATGGCCACTAAGTAAAGAGAAACTGGAGGCTTTAGAGAAATTAGTTACTGAACAATTAGGAAATGGGCACATAGCTCCAACATTTTCGCCTTGGAATTCTCCAGTTTTCGTAATTAAGAAAAAAATCAGGTAAATGGAGAATGTTAACTGACTTAAGAGCCATCAATTCAGTTATACAACCTATGGGAACATTACAGCCAGGATTGTCTTCTCCTGCTGTAATTCCAAAAAAATGGCCTTTAATACTCATAGATTTAAAAGACTGTTTCTTTACTATCCCTTTAGCTGAGCAAGACTGTGAACAGTTTGCATTTATAATTCCTGCAGTAAACAACCTGCAGCCTGCTAAGCATTTTCATTGTTTCACAGATGGGTCTAATAATGGTAAAGCTTCTTATTCTGGCTCGAAAAGTAAAGTTTTCCAGACTCCCTATAAAAAGCAAAGCTTGTAGCTGTAATTAAGGTATTGACTGTTTTTGATATGCCTATTAATGTGATTTCTGATTCTTCATACGTGGTTCATTCCACACAGTTAATTGAAAATGCTCAGTTACAATTTCATACAGATGAACAATTGATAATAAAAACAAAAAAGGGGGAGAAACAGGGATTTGGGACAGCCCATACACAATTGAATCTAGCATTATTAACTTTAAATTTTTTGAGCCTGCCCAAAGGCCAGATGTTATCAGTAGCTGAATAGCATCTACAGAAACCAGCTGCAAAGCCAGAAGCAGAACAACTGATTTGGTGGTGAGATCCAATAACAAAAAATTGGGAAATAGGTAAAATAATAACTTGGGGTAGAGGTTATGCTTATGTCTCTCCAGGCCAAAATCAACAGCCGATTTGGATACCATCAAGACACCTGAAACCTTATCATGAGCCAGATGCCAAGGAAGAGATTCCAGGAGGATCCCAAGGACCCCCTGTTGCAGCCGTGTTGAGGCTGATGCTCAGGAGGACCCCAACTGTCACAAGCAACACCTGTTGAACACAACCACCCACCGGAGGACAGATCAAGAAGCTGTCACAGATGGCAGAAGAAAACCTAAGGAAAGCGAGACAGCCAGTCACAATGAGTAATTTAATAGTAGCTACGATAGTGATGATCACCATTGCCGTGAGTATTCCTTCAACAAGGGCTGACACAGAGAACAATTATACTTATTGGGCATATTTATCAATCTTGGCTGGCAATAATGCCTGGATGTAATCACTCTATGACACAGTTACACATGCTTTCTGATCTCAGTATTTACCATAATAAATCTGTTCCTATAATTGAGGCATACAGCCCTCAAAAACCTATTTGTAAACAAAATTGAACCTGGCCAGAAAATGAACGTACTTGTTTAGGAAGATTGCATTGCAGAACAGGCAGAGGTGCTGCACAACGATTCCTATGGAATCATTATTAATTGGTCCCCTAAGGGGATATTTAGCTTGAATTGCACCTCTGAGTCTGCATGCCATGGCCACACTATGTTCAGATGGTCTGAACAAAACGGTCAGATGGTAGAAATGATAAAAAGTATGACAAGAGTTCCTATTATCTGGAACCATGGCAGTATAGTGGCACCTCAACCTCAAATGATATGGCTTGTTGTAGGAGCTAACATAAGATTTTGTGGAAACTATTAATAGCTTTTAATAAGATCAAAATTTGGGAAAGAATAGAAAAGCATCTAGAAGGACACTCTACAAACTTGTTTTTGGATATTGCAAAATTAAAAAAACAAATATTTAAAGCATCCCAGGCACACCTGACCTTAATGCCAAGAACTGGAGTGCTTGAAGGAGCTGCAGACAGATTAGCAGCTAGTAACCCATTAAAATGGATAAAAACACTTGGAGGCTCTGTGATTTCAATGATTATTATGCTTTTAATCTGTGTTGTTGTTTTTCTTTGTATAGTCTGCAGATGCGGATCCTGACTCCTATGAGAAGTAGCTCACCGTGACAAAGGTGCCTTTGCTTTTATCAATTTGCAAATCAAAAAAGGGGGACATGTTGGGAACAGCCCCCCCACCCCAAAAAAAAACATGGCCATAAACTGGCCCCAAAACTGGCCATAAACAAAATCTCTGTGGCACTGTGATGTGTTCATGATGGCCATAACGCCCACACTGGAAGGTTGTGGGTTTACCAGAATGAGGGCAAGGAACACCTGGCCTGCCCAGGGTGGAAAACTGCTTAAAGGCGTTCTTAAACCACAAACGATAGCATGAGCAATCTGTGCCTTAAGGGCATGTTCCTGCTACAGATAACTAGCCAGACCCACCCCTTTATTCTGGCCCATCCCTTCGTTTCCCATAAGGGATACTTTTAGTTAATCTAATATCTATAGAAACAATGCTAATGACTGGCTTGCTGTTAATAAATACGTGGGTAAATCTCTGTTCAGGGCTTTCAGCTCTCAAGGCTGTGAGACCCCTGATTTCCCACTTCACACCTCTGTATTTCTGTGTGTGTGTAATTCCTCTAATGCTGCTGGGTTAGGGTCTCCCCAACTGAGCTGGTCTTGGCAGGTCCTCAGCAACTTCAGTCCTTCCCTCCTCGGAAGAAAGAATTCAACTGAGGGGCATAGAGCAGAAAAAGAGACTGAGGCAAGTTCCAGAAAAGGAATGGAAGTTTATTTAAGAAGTCTTAGAACAGGAATGAAAGGAAGGTGTGCTTGGAAGAGACCCGAGCAAGCACGTGAAGGCTAAAGAGAGAAGGTCATGTTTGACCATGATCCTAGGACTTTTATAAGCTCCCTTCTTTCCCATGATTCCTCCCTGAGGGTGGGTTTTCCTCATGCCCAGTGCTTTCCTTACCTTTTAGAATTGAGCATGTGTGGTGTGTTTAGGGAGTTATACACAGGCCCATCTGAGGCTTTCTTCCTTTTTCCAGTGGAGTGTGCCCCCGGAAGATCATACTTCACCATGTTTTGCCTCTTAACATGCATGCCCAGGAAGTTGCTTCTCCCTGGGGCCTGCATTCAATTAACATTTTGCTGTTAACAGGTGTGGACTACCAGGAAATGGCCTCTCCCTGGCGCTGTGAAATTAGCATTCTTAGAGAGGCAATTCAGTAATTGCCGAACCACCACCCAACATTTTCAGTGGATTAAGGGGGAGCCCTATCCTACCCCGCTCATGCCTAACTATCTGTAACACATTCAATTGGTTGGGAGACTTATAATTTTATTTTTGGCTTACAATAATCATGAAATATTTAGATATATGGTTTGTGGACCCTCACTTGTACTTTTGCCCTGGGCTCTATAAATTTTGAGCTGGGCCTGTCTGGTTTTCATAGAGTTATGGGTACAAGACACTATTTTCTTCCTAACTCTAATGCATGAAAAATAAACTGGCAAAGTAAAATGACAAACAGCAACCAGCAGCTGGCCTCAGTCAAGGAGAAAGCACGGGGAAAATGGGAGCATTCTAGAAAAGGAGGCAACCAAGCATTGCAGCCAAGCTCCAAAGGGCAGTCACCACACCAGCACACAGGATCCACTTCTTGGGACCTTGGTAAGTGGGAGGCAGTGTGTACCAGTTCCTGTAGACTAGTTCATGCCCCTCTGTCTCCCCCTTACACAGAGCACTTGCAAATGCTAGTTCAGGAATCCAGAGGCCTGGCTGGAGTCTAAGCAGTGAGTAGCTTGGCAAAGAGCTGCTATGCTGAAACTGCAGTTTTCAGTGGAAACTAAAGATAGGATAGACATAAGATATATTGGTAAATAATAAAGTCTCATACAATGTTAGGAGCTATTAGGATTGAATTGGGTCCCTGCAAATTCATATGTTGAATTGCTAGCCCCCAATGTGACTCTATGTGGAGATAGGGCTTATCAGGAGATAGTAAAGATTCAGTGAGGTTATAAGGTGGGGCTCTAATCCAGTAGGACTGGAGTCCTTAGAAGAGATGGGAAAGAGATAGGGGAGACCTCCCTCTGCACAAGTACACCAGCAAGAAGGTTACCATCTGCAAGACAGGGAGAGAGGCCTCATCAGACAGAATCCTGTCGGCACCTTAACCTCAGACTTCCAGCCTCCAGAACTGTGAGAAAATAAGTGTATTGTTTAAGCCCCTGGGCCATGGTATTTTGCAATGAGCTGCTATAACAGTATGGCGCCTCACATGTAGTGAGGTCAATAGTGTTTCCTGCTGTTATGTTTATTATTGTTACTAAAACCCTGATGGGACTAATCTCTAAGGAAGGAAGGATTCCCAGCTCCCAGATGGACCACGGGGGAGGTCTGAGGAATAGGGAGGGCTTGACTGTGAGCTTGACATGGGCATCCAGGCAGGCCTGGCCCTGCCCACACCTTCCCTCATGACTGTTCCAATTTGTCACTGTCACCCTGCCACCACAGTGTCCAGCTGGTGTTCCCAGCCAGTCTCCATCTTTCCCAAATGGATTCCAGGTTGGTGCCAGCAGCCTTAGTCCAGGGCTGGCCTCCATTTTCCCCTCCACTGCTGGCAGGTGGCCCTCTGGGAACAGGCCCCAGTGGTGGGCTGGCCAAGCCCTGACTTCTCTTGACAGCTGCTCCAGGAGGGATGGACATGACCTGGCTTTTTTTTTTTTTTTTTTTTTTGTATTTTTTTGTAGAGACGAGGTTTTGCCATGTTGCCCCAACTCCTGAGCTCAAAGTGATCCACCCGCCTCAGCCTCCCAAAGTGCTGGGATTACGGACATGAGCCACTGTGCCTGGCCAAATTTTATGTTAAGTATGTTTTCTCATAATATTTTTAAAGTCCATGCTTGGAGCCTTTTGTGACCACGAGGCAGTGCAGAAGGCAACCCAGGACAGATCTGATTAGCCCTCAGCTACTTTGCAATTGAATCTCAGGTTCTGAGCTCCTGTGAGTAAAATCTGAATTCAAGTTAGTGCTCCAGAGCCCGGGAGCAACTGGAACTTTCCCACCATCTACCTGGTGAAGCATGGATTATCTTATTTTAAAATTTCTATTCTTTATTTCTCATTTAAAGTGACGGCAATATATTAATATCATTTAGATAATGTGTTGGTAATATGATCTGTGAATTTCATTAGAGGATTTAAAGAGGGTAGAATGAGGCCAGGTGTGGTGACTCACGCCCATAATCCCAGCACTTTGGGTGGCCAAGGCGGGTGGATCACTTGAGGTCAGGAGTTTGAGACCAGTCTGGCCAACATGGTGAAACCCCGTCTCTACTAAAAATACAAAAATTAGCCAGGCACCTGTAGTCTCAGCTACTCGGGAGGCTGAGGCAGGAGAATCGCTTGAACCCGAGAGGGGGAAGTTGCAGTGTGCTGAGATTGCGCCACTACACTCCATGAGTGACAGAGACTATCTAAATAAATAAATAAAGAGGGTAGAATGAAGATATTCAGGTAGTTAAGGTTGGGAATCATTGTTTTAACTCTTCCTCTACTGTTTGCTGTTTTGGTTGCTCCAAAACTTTATAACTGCGTTATAACTGATACCCAGAGTCTGTCACTGTGGCCATCAACACAGCCCTGAGCTCTCAGTAGCTTATGACAGCAAGGATTAATTTCTTGGTCCTACTCATGTCCACTGTGGGTTGGCAGAGGGAATAGCGGCCTTTGTGGAGGATGCCTAATGGATGTGCAGTCCAACCTGATGTGGTGGGCTTTGCTCTGCAGTCTGTTCCTGTTTGTGTCTCTGTAGCTAAAGAAATCAACTCCTCTTTGAGCTTGCCCAAAAGGGGTCATTCCCACAAAGAACAGGGAACAAAGAGGAACTGTTGATTTTGGAGGGGAGAAAAGGAAGGGAATTTTCATTACATACTCCCGTATTCTCCCCAAAGACAGGTCTCCACTCTGCCACGGAGGGTCCTCTTCCCCCTCCCTCCCCCTCTTGCCACGTACCGGGCCCTCCTCTCTTTTCCACCTCCCTTAGGATTCTCCTTCCCTTTATTACCTGGAGCAAGTCTGTGGCCAGCCTTTGATTCTGAATGTCCCACCGCCCCAGCTTCACCACATCAGAATGTTCTAGGTAAATGCAAAGCTCTCTCTGGAAAGACTTCTGGTGAATTCCACTTCCTCACCCTATCCCAGTTGGATGAAGTCAGATCAGCAGAGCACTAGAGCCCTGGATCCAGCGTGCTGCCACCCCATGCACACACTCCCTGCCCTGGTGAGCTGCTGGTAGTGGCGGAGGTTTAATGTGCATTCAGTCACACTGGGGAAGGTCATAAGAAACAGCTGTGTGCAACTTGCCACCATATGAAGTCACATAAGACGGCAGTCATTATATTATAAAACATTTTTAAGGAGGATTCATGAGATGGATTACTATCTCTATGAGAAGCAGTTATCTCTATGGGAAGCAGAAACACTAATTTGTTTCTGGCATCTGGACACCGTGAATGAGGTCACCAGTCAGGTGTCCTTGCACTCTCAGCAGCCAGAAAGCTCTGAGCTGAATTGTGGCCCAGCTTTAGAAGGGTATGCAGTTTCACAGCCTGCAGTCTGGATACAACCACACTCCGGGTTTGACTCACCACCACTTTCCTCTCAGCCCCCGTTCACTCATGCATATTTTTGTTTATTATACTTCTAAACCACCTTAAATGCTTCTGTTAACATGGCGAGACATAAACGTTCTCAAAGGCCACAAAAGCTTATAAAAGCTTATTTCCCACAGAATAGCCTGGCAGTGAGTCGCCCCGGGGGAGATGAGCCTCCATGATGTTGGACTCGGCTTCCTCCATCGCGGGCAGCCGCACACCCCTCCTTCCCCCGGGTCCAAGTGCTGCCCACATCCGCGGGGTTGGGCAATGCCCATCGCCGTGTCACTGGGTCTGCTTCCAGCCAGCCCGGGGAGGGAAAGGAGGGCAACAGCATGACCCCCCTTCAGGGTGCATGTTGGAAACCGCACAGATCATTTGCAGCCAGATCCTGTTGACTAGAACTTGGTTCCATGACCAACACTTAGTGCAAAGTATGCTGGGAAATCCAGCCTTTCTTCTGGGCAGCCGTGTGCCCAGGTAAAATGCAGAGGTTATATGACTTAAGAAAGAAGGGGACAAAGAAAGGAAATTGGGGGATAACGAAGTCTTATGTCCTTACCTTACACTTTCAGGAGAATTATGGAAAGGGGAAGAAAGCTGGAAAGCTGGGTCCAGTCTCGCCCATCTGCACCAGAGGTCTCCAGCGTGACTGCAGTGGGCGCCCTGGCTAAAACCAAGCTCTGTTTGTGTCTGAAAAGCAGGGAGAGGCACTTCCTGGCTCTGTTTGAGTTGGATGGGCCTGTGCTCGAGGCTTTGCCTGCTCTTCTGTCACGAAGGATGTTTACGGGGAAGCCAGGACTGACCCTATGGAGACACCAGGCTGGCTTCCACCTCTTGTTGGGAGGAGTGTGAGCGGCCTGGCTGTGGGCTGAGAGGCAGCTGCATGTGCTTGGATGCTGCCGTGGATACCCCAGCCCTGGTAGTGTTTGAGGCAGAACAAAGGGAACTCAGGAAGCAGTTGACATGGACTCATCTGTTCTGGTATAAGTGGCACGTGCTAGGGCAAGTCCCACCGCTAGGGACGGGAACAGCTTCTCTCCGGGAAGCTGCCATCTCCAGCACCAGGCATTGTGGTAGAAGACCAATTCTGAGCTAGGAACAGAGCCCAGAAGGCTTTAAGCAGAAGTGAAGGCACATTCTTTTCTGTCTGGAGGCAGCAAGATGTGAGGCTGGACATGCCAGGAGCACGCCGGGGTCTGAGCCGACCCTGCCGCAGAAGGCAGGTGGGAAGTGGGAAAAAGGAGGCTCCCGGGGGGCCTGGCTTGGGCCTGGGCTTCAGGCTCTGAGGAACTGCACAGAGTGGGAGTTGGTGGGTTTCTCCTGGACTTCTAGAAAGGCCTGTGAGCTCAGCCTGACTCCAGCAGTGCACGGGGCATCACCAGCAAGGCCTGCTTTGGTGGGGTGGCCATGGGAGAGTAGAGCCTCCCCTATGGTGGGTGTGGGTGCCCAGGAGCACAGCCACCTCTGCCAGGCCACCCCCAGCCAAGGCCTATTCCGGGAGACTCGGCACCTGGGAGGGGTGAGTTCCTCTACAGGCAGAGGGAGCTTCAACGTCCTCCTAACTTGGGAAGTAAGGGGAATACAATTTCACAGTAGCTGTGCAGCCTTGGGCAGTTAGATGTCTCTTTGCCTCCATTTCCTCATTTATAAATGTTGATAAAAATACCTCCTGCCTCCCTGGGATCATGAGTAGCAAGAGAAACATGCATGGAGGATTTGGATTCTTGCCTGGCATCGAGCTGGGGCTCAAGGGACAGAAGTGTAGCCAGTATGGAGCTTGGCACTGCCTGTTGTTATTGCTGCTGGCAGCCTTCGAAAGGCGGGGTCTGGACAGGCCTTTATGGAAGCACACACTTCCTAGAAGAGCAGGAATCATAAAGGAAAGCAGGGCAGGGAATCCCTGAGGAGACGGGGAACTCACAGGCCTCTGAAGGGCAGCATGACGCACAGAGAGGCCTGAAGATGTTCCCAGACATGCAGAGGCTGGGCCTGGAGCTCTCAGCATGGCCTGGGCCTGTGGGAGGGACAGAGGGGCCTGCAGTGGGCCTGTGGGACCCAGAGGGGCAGAGCCAGGTGGGTGGGGAGATGAGATGCTAAGAAGAGAGCTCCATGTGGGGAAACTGAGGTAACAGCAGGTAGGTCAGGTTGCAGTGTTTGGTGCCTATAGGATGTGGGTGCAGAGAGGAGGGCCGCAAGCTCCTACAGGGAGAGGGCACAGGAAAGAGAGCTATAGCTCAGGTCCCTGGGCCAAGGAGAAGCCATAAAGGTACATAGGAGACACCGTGTCAGACGGAAGACAGCTCTGCCTGGCATTCCCAGCTGGGCCCAGCCCTCCACTGCAGGCCCTCGGGCTGGCTACCAGCTGAGAGCACGGCCGTGCTGACAGAGCAGGGGCGAGGGCCCGGCCCCATCTGCTGAGGGAGTCTGAGCTGCTTCCCAGTCCAGGGCTCACCCAGCTCAATCCCCGTCTTCCCACCTGTTTCCCAGGGGTTACCCTTCCAAACCTCCTGCAGCCCTGACTGTCGCAGCTTCTGCTCTTTGGGGCCTGAGATGACCCACACCCATTTCCTCCTGTCTCTCTCCCCAGGTGTCTGGCTCTCCCAGGCCAAGCAACACCATCATACCCAGGTGATTGCGCAACTTCCAGGCCCACCCAGGAACACCCACAGGTGGAGCAGAGAAACGCAGAGATGTGGACGGTCTCTCTTCAGAAGCTTTATTCTCCCTGGGAGGGGCACACCTCACCCAGCCAAGGGCTGCTTCTGACTGGACAGAGGGCGTCCAAGATGCAGACATGGTGTGCAGGCAGGAGGGCTTCCACTAGCCCCCCAGGTGGGAGGTGCTGTGCACCCAGGCTCAAGAGGGAGGGGGCCCCAGCCACGAGGGAGGGGCAGGGACTTTCTTCTCACAAAGACCTTTCTTCAGTATTCGAAGGTCACTGTCTTGACCCGCAGGTACTCGTTCAGAGCCGCCTCTCCTGTAAGACACCACAAAGGTCACAGCAGCTCCCACCACAGGCAGGGCACTGCTCGGGGCTGCAAGTGTCTTATTCCTCAGCAACCACGTGGGGGCAGCTCTGGCTCACCCCACTTCCAGGTGAGAAGTCGAGGCCCAGCGAGGTCATGAATCTTACCCAGGTTATCCCTGGCAGTGGATAGTGGGCCAGGACTCCCCAGAATACAAAGCCAATCTGAGGCAGCCATTTAAGAATCTTCCCCAGCTCCCACCGCCTTGTCTGGACAGTGGGAAGCCCCTTCAGGTGGAAGGGGGTGGAGAGACTTGGCGTTACTGCCCAGACTCACTGGCCCATCTCTTCTCTCATGGCTGCCCCCAGCTACGTCTGCATCAAGCTGTGGCTGGGAAAAGGGGATGCCTCGCAGGGCCCTGAGGCCCCAGGCCTTGGCAGTGCTATGTGGCTGGTGCATCTCAGCCCCATGACAAGTGTGAGGCCTGGGGCTGCCTGACAGCTCCCCAGCAGCTCTGGCTGGCCCCAGGAGTGGCACTGCCCCGTCCCTCTGAGGTCCTGAGTCTGCCCAGGCAGGCTGCTTGGAAGGCTTGGCTTGTGGGCCTGTCCCAGGAGGGTGCTGGTCCTCTCAGCAGGACATGGGGACTAGGGTTAGGAGGGAGCTGAGGGAACTCGGGGAGGATTCATAAGGGGCCCAGATCACGTCCTGGGGACTTGGCAGCCACAGCCTTCCCTGGGTGGCCATGGGCCTCATGGATTCCCCTGGTGGACACCAGGAAGGTGGCCTGGGAGAAGGCAGGAAGAGGAGGCCGACAGGGACAGAGGAAGCAGGAGTGTCCAGCCTACACATGCGTGCATGTGAGTCCAGCCCTGTGGGCACACATGGGCCCCTCTCATGGGTACCCTTGGGGGCTTCTGCAGGGCTTGAAAGATGGGGGCAGGGGGAGGAGAGAAAACTGGAAACAGTGACCAGCCTTTGACCCCCAGCCTCAGCATGACCTTCCCTGTGGTCTCTGGGCTGGCACAGGAGCCTGGAGAGACAGGTGGGACCTCTGAGACAGCATATGGCTTCCCCGGACCTTGCCAGCCACCCTTGCCAAGCTTGCCCATCAGACCTGTCTAGTCCCCCCTGCTGAGAGAGCAGGACGAGGCCCAAGGCTTGGAGCAGCCCAGGGAGAGAGGGCCGGAGCAGAACTCCATGCCACCCAGCAGGCAGAGCACTGGGGAGCCTGTGCTGTGTGCCGGGGGACCCCGCCTGCTATGTGCCGGTGGACCCCGCCTGCTGCCGCCTGAGTAACTTCACCTCTACTGGGAGACTTGCAACACCCGTGGTGTTCACCCGGGGGTACATTTGGTCCCATGGCTCCTCTTTACACTAAGGATGCAACCTGAGCCCCTGACCATGGCCCATGGGCCTTCAATCTGGCCCCTACCTGCCTCTCAGGCCTTCTCTCCTCCCTCCTGCTCCCCCTTGGCCCACTCCCACCACTCTGGCCTCTCTGCAGCTCCACGACCAAAGCTGGTTCCCCCAAGGACCTGCTGAACCCTCAGCCAGAAACACGGGCCCCTGGGTCTTCATGGCCAACTCCTCCCTGCTATGCAGGTCTGGGTAGCACAGGTGCCACCACACCAGAGAGGCCCCCAGTGCCTCCTGGCTGGAGTGTCTCCTCCAGGCCCCTCTTCTTGCCTTCTTCCCAGCACGACCCCCCTCTGCAAGCATCTTGCTCACGGACTTGTCACAAGTTCCCTCCCAGTAAGAAGCGAACCCTGACAGCCATCATGTTCAAGGCTACGTCCCTGCATCTGAGATAGGACCTGGCCCTAAGTGGTTTTGAACAGATGTTTGTTGAATGAATAAATGAAAGCAACCCCACAGGCAGGAGTAGGTTACCTAGATCTTTGCCAAATCCAGACTGTTTGAATCCTCCGAAGGGAGCGGCCACGTCGGTCTTGTTGTACGTGTTGACAAACACAGTGCCTGCCTGGAGCTTGTCACTGACATACAGGGCCTTGTTGATGTCCCTGGTGAAGACACCAGAAGCCAGGCCAAATTCCGTGGCATTGGCCCGAGACAGCACGGCATCCAAGTCCCTGGAGAGAAAGTCCAGGAAGAACTCCCTGAGGGAGGTGCAGAGGAGAGCCTGGCCCACTCCACACCCCGGCCCACTCCACACCCCAGCTGCATAAGACCTTCCGAGGAGAAAATGTGCCGGGCTGCAGCGCCGGGGGCAAGATTGGGTTGGGTTGGGCTGCGAGCGAGGAGGAAGGGCAGAGGCCCATGGGCAGGTGGCCACCACAGGGGCTCCTGGATCATCGGGTGAGCCCTTTATTCCACAGACTGGGAGCAGGGGCCCAGAGAGGGGCCGCTGGGTCCTCACATGCAGAAGGACCCACATGTGCCCGCCGCAGGTTGGGCATTCACCAGACATCAGCGATTTGGAGACTTACTACAACCATATTTATTGGCTAGGTGGCAGTGAAGTCTCTTATTCTAATACCACTGACATACGATGATAATTTCTGGGGTTTTTTTGGTAGTTGGATAGTAAAATGTGAGGACGAGGCACGATTTTGCAATTTGCTCCAAGGTGCTACGGAGACAAGGGGCAGGCCTGAGAAGTGACAGCATGGGCCTCAGTGGCCCCACTGTGAGTGGAGTACAGTTTTTCCCTTCCAGCCCAGCCTGGTCTGGGTGACTTGCTTCATCAACAGGCCGTGGTGGAAGGGATGCTCTGGGATTCTAAAGAGCTAGATTATAAAGAGCCTTTTGGCTTCCACCTGGCCTCCGAAGGGAACCAGGTGCCTCGGCAACCCCGAGGCTGCCACGCGGAGGAAGCCTCCCGCAAGACCCCCAGCAGCATCAGGATAGCCACTCTGTCACCCCAGCTGAGGCCAGACACTGCATGGAGCAGAGATGGGTTTGCCTCATTGAACCTAGACCGTGACTAAAATAAATCTCTGATTATTCCAAGCCACTCAGTGTGGGGGGTGGTTTAATGCATGGTAACAGACCTTAGAACAGAGCCCAGCGGGCTGTGAGAAACATGCTGGAGCATGTGACAAGTGACAAGGACAGGGAAGGGAGCTGCCTTTGCTCACAGGGGGGACTCAAAGCCCCAGGTCACTGGGCTCTCTTCTCAGGGGTGTGGAGACTCAGCAGGCGGCACAAGCGGGGTGTCCACGGCTTGCGCCCTGCCTGAGTTCTCCTCCTGACTGCCCGTAGACTACCTCCCAAAGCCCACATGAAGACCCCAGTAACACGTGGGAGAGAGTCAGGGCCCTTGAGACATCAGCAGGATTCCCTACCCATCAGCAAACCGAGAGATGATCATGACAGGCCCGAAGGACTCCTCCTTGGCTATGAACATGTGGTCTTCCACGTCTGTGAAAACAGTTGGCTCAAAGAAGAACCCTGCAAGAGAGATAAAAGCCCGTTGCACATGGGAGACACGGTGCCCGATGGTCCAGCCTCTCCGTCAGCAGGGCCTGGGCCACACCAGCCACCTGCGGATGACCCGACATAAGCACCGGGTCACGGCACCCGTGTGATGGGTGTCACCACGCTGCAGATGGCTCTCCCACCTGGCTTGTTCTTTGATGTGGGTCTCACCGTGCTTTTAACGGAGTGCTGTTGAGGGAAATGGGGCCGCCGGTTGGCAGGTGACAGAGCTGAGACCTGATCCCAAGTCCATCCAATCCTAGTGCCAGAACCCATGGCCGAAGCAAAGACTTGAGCTTTTCTGGTGACAGCTAATCTAAAACCACCTAGATTCTTTGGCAGGTGAAACCTCCCAGGCAGCTCTGCCACTGACCCTGGTGGCTACAACCCGTGGAGTAGGAGGAGGTGAGAGGGGAGGAGCTCTGGGCACTGGGACCTCCTGGGGCTTCCTCCCTCTGCCCTCCCAGGGTCCCTACCAAGGCCCAGCTCCATGCTCTCCAGTCAAGAAGGGACCACCTACTCCCAACCCTGGATGCAGCCCCTACAGGCCCTGGTTGCCAGGGCAGAAGCACTTCTGACAACTGAAATGCTTCCTCTCTGTTTTCTCTAGAGACAGAGCCCTAAGACCTGCTGCACTGAGGTCAATCCTGCCTGACCTCACTGAGATTCAATCCTGCCTAACTTAGGAATAATCAAGAGACTGGGAATTTTCTCACTCTAGTTTTTAGAGAAATAGAAAATTTCAAACCATGTTAAAAAGTTATTTAATAAAATGTTCAATATTTTTCATACATACATAAATGATGTTTTAACACTGATTACAATTCTGAAAATGTGACTCATGTACATGCATAGTGGTTTATGTGGCCTGTGTTTACTCCACAGTCTTGCACCACTTCTGCCAGGGCATGTGAGCCATGCTGACCACCCCTCTGTCATCCCCTCCCCATCTACCTTGTACTCTCCCCTGTCCCCTCTAGACCCTGAGAGCTGGTCTCCTGGTCATTGGGCCACCAGAAGGCAGCCCCATCCCATGCTCTGCCCCTCACTGGGCTGCAGGAATTCTGTTCCTTCTCATACCCCCTCCAGGGCGGGGTGATGGCTCCCCACTGTTCCTGGTTCCTGGGTGCTGCTCTACCCCTTGCTGGCTCCCTAGCCCTGCTCCTGGTACAAGGCCTCCATCACACTGTCTTCCACCAATCCTGAACCCGGCCATCCTTGCACTGCAAGGGTCCTGGTGATGCTCCCCCAACCCCACCTGCCTCATGGAACTCACAGTCCAGCGGGAGTGGGAAGAGGGTAAGTGGACAGTGACAGCAGCAGTGCAATGGTCACGAGAGCTCTGTTGAGGTGTGCGGTGCCCGATGCCCTGTGACACGGGCATGCCCGGGCTTGGATGTCCTGTGAGCTGAAGAAGCAGGAGCTCTCCAGGTGGGGACACTGGAAAGCCTCCACTAAGCCGAGCAGCAGCAAATGCATGGAGCCCAAGAAAGCAGGAGAAGCCTCTGGAGAGAATGAAATGCAGCTGCAGTACAGGTCAAGGGCAAGTCAGGCACAGATCATGAAGGACTCCGGCTGTGAGGTCAAGGAGTCCGAACTTGCACTGCAGGAGGATGGGTCACTGCTGCAAGGTCTTAACAGAGGAGAGGTCACCAGACCCTGGCAGCTGTGTGAATAAAGGATCAGCAGGCTCACAAGGCCACTTGGGAGGCTGCTGTGACACTGAGCGAGGCAAGATGTAGGGAGCCCGCACAAGGGTCAGGGAGGCAGAGGAGGCCCAGAGTGGGACAATTCTCAGATTTGACAGAATCAGGCCAATAATTTAAATGAGGGTCACAGAAAGAGAAGAGTCAGGGATTCCTTCTTTCCTTCCCTCCTTCATGCCATCAAATTAACTGAGCACCAACTCTGTGCAAGGCCCGGTCTAGGCACAAAGGAGCTAGGGGTGAGGAAGACAGTCATGGCACCTGTCCCCCAGCAGCAGCGTCAACGGTCCATCCCCGTGGCTGCTGCGCTTCTGGCCTGGACTGCTCGATCAGACAGAGGGTCCTGGAGCAGCAGGTGTGTGTGTCTGGGCTCAACTATAGCTGGGACATTGCAATGACCTTTGAGTTTGAAGGGCCTGGGGGACATCCAGGTGGAAGTGTCCAGTGCCGCTGGCTGTGCGGTCAGGAGCTCTGGGTGGGGTGGAGCCTGGAGGCCTGTATCTGGTAGGGTCTGAGCTGCTGCAGGGGAGAGATCCTGCGGGCAAAAAGTCCCCCATGAGAGGTGTTCCAAGCTAAGGATAGGCAGGGATGCACCTGCATTGAGAGAACAGGTGAAGCAACGGCTGAGAGGTTAACAGCCAGTGAAATAGAGGAAAAATAATAAAATCTAGTCTCATGAAATCTATGGGGGAGAGACTGTCAAGGCTGCGGTGACAGTAAGGGCAAGTCAGAGTCCAGTTCAATACTGAATAAACCAGCACTGAATAATGCTCGTCCCATCCCCGGGTCTGGCTGGTGCCCAAATAGCCACAGCCCAGTCCATCCCAGGTCCCAGATGGGGCTGCAGCCTGACTGTGTAGGTACCTGGCCTTCAGATGTCTCCAGTTCAGCTGGACAGGGAACCAGAGGCCATGGGACCTGCTGCCTCAATTGACCCAAGCGGACCTGACACACTCTGACTCACCTGGCCGAGGGACCTGATTCCCGCCGCAGACCAGTGTGGCCCCTTCCTTCACGCCATGCTGGCAGTACTCCATCAGCTTCACAAGGTGGGCATGGTGATTCTGCGGCCCGTGGTCGGTGTCCCTGTCCAGCGGGTTGCCCACCTTCATCTTCCGCACCTCTTCTACCTGCAGAAAGTCCTCCAAGTCAGGTGTGGCTTGTGCTGCCACAGTTTCTGACAATGATCCTCACCTGACTCAGCTCTCATGGCTGACCCCTGGGGAAAGTCCACACTCTGTTCTAGCCTCAGGGCTTTCTGAATTCTGACTCTAAATCCACCTTCCAGGCTGAAATCCCAAATGGCTCCTATGTGTAGAGGGACAGAAGTCTCCAAGGAGACAGGAGCCCAGCAACATATGGGCTGGAAATGGAGACATACAGGGGTGTGGGTGAGGAGGACAGAGGCCGGCATATTTGACTAGTTGAGATGGGGCTCAATACAACACGTATCTGACTCTGGTCCTGCACCAGCCTCATGGACCAAGAAGCTGAAGGAACTGTTTGTCCGGGGGACTCCAGGATGTGCGGTAGGTGGGATACACCAGCCCTGCTGCAATAGTCCTGGTGCCAAAGTGGGAAAGAAATTAAGTGAAGGGGAGGGGCCCAAGGCTCTAGTCTGCTGACCCTCCTCCTCCAAGGCCAGGGCATCTCACATCTTGCAAACTCTGCACCCCTAATCAGCCCTAATCAGACACAGGTGTGACTCGAGCACCCGGCACACCCCTCTGCTCTTCTCACCAGGGCCCACTGTGTGCCTCTGACTGTCCTGTCTCCACCCTGTAGCCAAACCCGGTTGCTTTTGTTCCTTATTCTCTGCTCCTGTCCTGTCGCCCCAAACCGCACCCCGATCAAATGGCTTTGTATCTTGGATACAAAGAACAAGCAGCCTACTGAGCCTCCTGAACACTGGCCTCACTTCCTTTATTTGGGATTGTGACTGTCCTGAGAATTATCCCTGGGACTCTGGCCCTTGCAGTCACCCTTCTGTGGAAGTCTCATGACTCCCTTAAGACCCCCAGACAGGACCTTGTGTGCACAGCTCTGTGTCCCCGCAGTCACACTCCCCCCATGACCGCCACTTTATCTCCAGTAGTCCCTGGGTCTGTATCCTGGTCCTGCTATTCCTGTGCCGGGCCCATCGTGGCAGTGGGCCTCACTTGGCCGGGCAGGCCAGCTCCCCAACTATGGAAGATGAGCTTGTGCCTCCCATCACGTGGTAGAGTCTGTTTCCTCACCCCTTGAATCTGGGCCGGCCTGTGACTTGCTTAGGCAGCACAATGCATGGAAGCAATGTTTCGTGCATTTCAAGAGGCCTCTCAACTTGTGCTCTCACTCTTAGGAGTCTTTCCACTGTCCACGTGAACATGTCCCAGCACACGCTGCAGAATGCAGGCCCCCAGGGCAACGACAGCTGTCCCACGAAGCCACCCGCTGCCCCGCTGCCCCTGAGTCTCACTGCAGATGTTTGGGCAAGCTCTGACAAACCCAGATGAGCCCCAACAAACCCCAGCCTAGACTGCCACTGCTGCCCACAGAAACATGAGCTGAGGGCAGGGCTTCATTTCCAGCCACTCCGTGTTGAGGGTCGTTATATGGCAAAAACTGTTCTAGCCCGTCCTAGAAAGTCCTTCCTTTTCCCACTGCTTCCGGACTCTGAGCCACCTCCCCAGGTCCAGCACCAGCTCTCCTCCAGGGGCCCCTCCCTCACCCCTCTGCTCATAGGCCGTCTTTTTCCCTGGTTTCCCAGGTACCATCTCTCTGAAACCATGTGTGGCGGTTGCTGGCTGTTTCTCCCGCATCCCTGCCACTATCCACTGGGATTAGATGCTGCTCTCCACAACCTAGGGGCGGTGGGGGGCGGTGCTCTTCGCGGAAGCTAAGCCAACCTCAGCTTGCTCCCCCCCTGGTATCATGGCCTGGATGAAGGATGGCTGAGGCCTGGCTCGTGTCAACCCCACAGTGTTTTCTAACAGAGGTGGTGAGGAAGGAGTCATGTCCCACTCTGGCACCATGTGGTGAGAAGGTAATGCTGGTGCCATCAGCCCCATACTCCCACCATATCCGAGCTGCTTGGAGAGGATGAAGCCAACCCGCTGAGGAACTGAGAAGCCAGGCATTACAAACCTCCCAAGGGGACTCAGGATGGCCCATCTGTCCCGAGGCCAGCATCAAGCCTGCTCTTCCAGGTGTGGCTGAGTGGATAAATCTGGTGGGAGACACTGTCCTGTGCCCACCAGATCCCCGAGGCCATGCAAGGTGGCTGCAGAGCCTGACGGGAGCTACTCTCCCCTGCTGGCGGCCCACAGCCAAGCCTACCTGCCACAGGGGCCCACAGCCTGGCCACTTGGCTCCAGGGGTATGCCTGTGTAGGGGGATTCGTGCTCCAGGGCCCCTGTCCATGGTCAGGCCCAGGCTGACCTGAGACCAGGCTCTTGCTCCATTCTGTCCAGTCCTCCCCTGGTCTCTTCTCTTTCCAGGCTTCACCCAAGAGTCCACTCTGAGTAAATCACCTGCACTGAATTCTTGCCCCAGGCTCTATTTCTAGGGGACCAACCCAAGATGGGCCCTTTTTGGTGATGTCAGTTTTGCTACAGGTCTGCTATTTCTTGGTGAAATAATAAAATCCAGTGAAGACTCAGCACAGCTCCCGCTGTGGGTTCCCTGACCCCCGGGGGGAGTGTCCTCCAGGAGGAGCCCAGCCTCACTTGACCCTGCCCTGTCTCCCCTCCTCCAACCCCCTCCAGCCAGGCGCTGCTGTCCCAGTGAACCAGCCGCCCGCAGACCCTGGGGCAGGACTTACCACTCTCCGCACGAACTCATCATGAATGGAGTCCTCCACAAAGAGTCGGCCTGCTGCAATGCAATTCTCTCCTTTGTTGAAGAAAACAGAACTCATCCCCTTCAGAGAATGGACAAGAACACCAGGTCACTGCTCCTCCTGGGACACCAGCCCCCGGCTCTGCCAGGGCCCAGCCGCCTCTTCTAATTAGGAAAGGAGGCACCCATGTGTCCTGATCTCCTCCTGTGGGCCCCACTCAATCCTCAGTCACCTCAAGAGGAGAGGTGAGAGGTAACTGTGTGGGAAGTGAAGACGCTGAGGCCCATGCAGTGACAGAGAGACACCACGCCCCAACTCCCACCACTGGAGGATAAGGCTGCCATCCACACTGCAGAGCATGGGGACCAAGTGGGAGTGAGCCTTGGCCTGCCTGAGACCCTCCTGCACCCTGGGTGGCTCACTGGGGCGGCCCAGGAGGTGCCGACTCCTGTTTCAGAGTCTACACTCTTGGGAGCTGACAGGAGAGATGCCAGCCGTGTGTGTAAGCATGGAGCAGGCGGTGGGTGACAGGGCAGAGGGTGGGACACAGGCAGGCAGCCCCGACATGGGTGGGTGAGAGGTGGGGCAGCCCTGGCCCAGGGAACTCCTGGCAGGAGTCCAGAACAAAGGCCCTCAGAGGCCCCAGGCAGCCTGCTTTTTCAAACTCGCCTGCTGTGGGAGACCCAGGGGAGGACGGAGAGCCATGGTCAAGCCTGGCTCTCCTGGAACCTGGGACTGCACAGCCAATGACAGGGCCCCGACCTCCAGCTCAGCACAGGGCCCAGCTAGATCCCCGTGCTGATGGGTTCACCCGGGCCCGTGAACAAGGCCCTTGCCTCCCTCAGTTTCTCCACCAAATGAGGTTGGACTCCCTTTCACACCCAAGCTAGGGTGTTAGGCCACCCTCCACGGCACAGTGGAACTTAGATAGGGCCGGGGGCATATTTGGGGACCTGGCTGAACATGGTCTTACTGGTTTGCTCCCACAGGAGTCAGGACAGGACCAAGGCAACAACAATACTAATGGTGAGAACAAGGACTGACACATGTCTCAAGTGGCACTTGCCACTAACCTAAGCCCTTCAGACATATTCATTCTGCAGCCACCCGGGAGGTGGGTATCACCATGGTCCCTATCCACAGGTGGGAGCACAGACGCCACAGAGGTTAGGTAACTTGCTCAAGGCTGCCCACTAAGTCAGTGGTGGAGCCAGGCACTGCACCCACGGCCACCGGTAGAGGGTCACTGTCAGCAGGGCTGGGCCCAAGTGCTCAGAGTTCTGCTTTGCTCTTTTATTTTAAAAACACACATTTTATTGTGTATATTTGAGGTTTACAGCATGAAGTTATGGATTACATATAGATGGTAAAATGGTTACCATAGTGAAGCAGATCAACACATCTGATTTGCCCTCTCATCAGACAGAAAAGGCTGCAATGTTTATTTCAGAACAGATGGAGCTGTGGCGTGTGTTTCCCAATTTCATATTTATATGTAATACACACACACACATATGTTATAGGCAGTTGATCTCAGCTATCCTGGCAGCTATGAAACTTCTTGGGAAGTATGTTTGGAGGGCACACGTCATTCTTCCCTAAGCCTGCTGCCTGCCACGCTATGCTTGTGATGACGCTATGGACTCCACCAGGGCTACACGTGTGAGTGTGGCTGTGGAATCAGAGACAGGGCCTCCTGGTCCCTACAGTCCCTGTTCCCGCTCACTGTCCCTGCCCCCTCCAGGCCCGGCCCTCACCATCTGCACAGCCTTGTTGAGGTCACAGTCAGCAAAGATGATGAGGGGTGACTTCCCGCCCAGTTCCAGGGACACCTTCTTCACGTTACTTATGGCACAGCTGCAAGGAACAGAGGGCTGGTGGGGCCGGTCCCTCCAGGGCAGGTAGGGGCATTGGGACCCCAGGTGGCAGGGACCTGGGTAGGCCCAAAGCATGCTTTGCTGCAAGAAGCAAGACCCGGCCAGTGCCTCCCCACTCCCCCCCACCCCTTGCGGCTTCACACGGCCACCTGCCTTTCCTTTCTGGCCTGTACACACCAGGCCTGTGCCCCACTGCCCCCTGGACTGCCCTTCCTGCTGCCCACTCCACACCTCATTTCCTGCAGGCCTGTGTTCCCTTCTCTGGGGTGCCTCCCTGATCGCCCCGTATAAAACCACAGCCTGCCTGTGCACCCCATCTGCTGTCCTTTCCTCTACTGCATGTTGACCTCTGACCCCACCTGCAGAGCATGAGCCTGGCCAGGGCAGGCACGCATCTGTCTGGGTCCTATTACAGCCCCGGTGCCAAGCACAGTGCCTGCACGCAGCTGGTGCTGCACAAATTAAGGAATACAAAACAGCACCATCCGCTGGCACAGCTGCAGGGGCCCAGAGGCTGGGGCACCTCCTTGTATTAGTGGCAGAGCAAACAGAGAGGCTGGGAGTCATGAACACATCACATCAGTGGGCAAGAAATGCACTGCAGGGATGCTGTCCTCAGCTGGACACTCAGTCAATAGCCGGCAGGTAGGAGGCTCCACTGGGGAGGAGAGGCCTCCTCTGCAGAAGCAACCCAGGGAGATGGCACCCATCTCAGCTGCAGGTCTGTGTGACACGGCTGCCTGGGAAGAAGAAAGCAGCAGAACCAGGGATGCTGGGGCAGGAAGCTGCTCAGAGCTCTGCTTTGCTCTTCTTTTTTTTTTTTTTTTAATAAATTTTACTGTGTATATTTGAGGTTCATAGCATGATTTCGTTTTTTAGTTTTGTTTGTTTGTTTTGTTTTGTTTTGTTTTGTTTTTAGATGGAGTCTCACTCTTGTCACCCCGGCTGGGGTGCAATGGCATGATCTTGGCTCATGCAACCTCCACCTCCCGGGTTCAAGCGATTCTTCTACCTCAGCCTCCCGAGTAGCTGGGATTACAGGCACGTGCCACCACGCCCGGCTAATTTTTGTATTTTCAGTAGGGACGGGGTTTCACCATGTTGGTCAGGCTGGTCTTGAACTCCTGACCTCAGGTGATCTGCCCACCTCGGCCTCCCAAAATGCTGGGATTACAGGCATGAGCCACAGCACCCAGCCTTTTTTTTTTTCCTTTGAGATAGAGTCACACTCTGTTGCCCAGGCTGGAGTACAGTGGTGTGATCTCAGCTTACTGTAACCTCCGCCTTCCGGATTCAAGCGATTCTCCTGCCTCAGCCTCTAGAGTAGCTGGGAATATAGGCATATACCACCACACCTGGCTATTTTTTTTTTTTTTTGTATTTTTTGTAGAGATGGGGTTTCACCATGTTGGCCAGGGTGGTCTCAAACTCCTGGCCTCAAGTGACCAGCTGGCCTCAGTCTCCCCAAAGTGCTGGGATTCCAGGTGTGAGCCACCATGCCCAGCCTAGTATTTATTTTTTTAAATAAAATGTTCAAATTGAGGTACTTTTTTTTTTGTTCTGTTCTATTTATTTATTTATTTATTTGAGCCAGGCTTTCTTTGTTGCCCAGGCTGGAGTGCAGTGCGTGATCTCGGCTCATTTAGCTTCCGTGTCCCAGGCTTCTTCCACCTCAGCCTCCCGAGTAGCTGGGACTACAGGCACGTGCCACCACATGCCTGGTTATAGCATGAACTACATATTGATGGTAAAATGGTTACCATGGTGAGGCAGATCAACATATCTTGCCCCCCAAACCCTCTGTCCAGCTCTGGAGTGCTCAGAGCTGACATTTCCTGAGCCCTCACCCTGGACTTGACTCACATGTGCTCAGACATGGCTACAACCTACACACCTCAGAGGAAGAGACCAGCTAGCTTTTGAATTAGGAGAGGCAAACCTGCAGTGACTACTTGCAGTTACCCCATTCCCCTACCCACGTCACTCAAAGTGCAGGTGCCAAAACCCACCCCCAGAAGTTCAGTGTCAGGGCTGGGGCAGGCTCCAGTGTCAGTCAGGGCTCCACCTGTGGTCTGGCCCTGGCTGGCTCTCCCAGCTTGTCAGTGATGGAGACCAGAACCCCTGCACTATCAAACTGCTGTAATGGAACTGGTGGGGGACCCAAGGCATGGGTGTGGCCCAGGTCATATTGTGGTTTAGTGACAGAGTCTGGGAGATGACACCAGTCAATTTGAGGCCAAAGTCCAAGGATGAAGACATGAGTTGACCTAGATCACTTCTGTCCATAGAAATAGAATGAAAGCTTCAAACAGTAGCCACATAGACAATGGGACTTTTTTTGATGGTAGCCACATTAAAGGAGTTCGAGACCAGGCTGGGCAACATAGCAAAACCCCATCTCTACAAAAAATTTAAAAACTTATCCAGGTATGGTGGCACGTGTCTGTAGTCCCAGCTACTCAGGAGGCTAAGGTAGGAGGATCGCATGAGCCAGGGAGGCAGAGGCTGCAGCCATGATCACGACACTGCACTCCAGCCTGGGTGACACTGTGAGACTCCATTGAAAAAAAAAAAAAACCTGAAAAGAAGCAGGTGAAATTAATCCTAATAGTATATTTTATTATATTTTATTTAACCCAACTAATCAAGAATATTATCATTTCAACTTGAAATCAATATAAAAACTTAATGAAGGCAGAGCACAGTGGCTCACGTCAGTCATCCCAGCACGGAGATGGGAGGCCGAGTCAGGTGGATTGCTTGAGCCCAGGAGTTTGAGACCAGTCTGGGCAACACCATGAGACCCCATCTCTATGAAAAACACAAAAAATTAGCTGGGCTTGGTGGTGCATGCCTGTAGTCCCAGCTACTTGGGAGGCTGAGGAGCATCACTTGAGCCCAGGAAGTCAAGGCTACAGTGAGCTATGATGGTGCCACTGCACTCCACCATGAGTGACAGATCAAGACCCTGTCTCAAAAAAAAAAACAACAACAAAACAAAAAAAAACCCCAAACATCCTATTAATGAGCTATTTCACTTTTTTGTGGGTGCTCAGTTCTTGAAATCCATGCGTGTTTTATACTCTCAGCACCTCTCGATCCAGCCCCTTGCTGGTCTGACAGGGCTCCACAGGTCTCCGCCCAGGCCTCCCCGGGGCTTTGCCAGAAAGGCAGATGCCTCTTCAGCGTTTGCATAGAGCCCAGCAGGGCCACGGAAGTGGCTGTGCCCTGGAGCCTGGGAAGCAGGACACAGCTCCTGGGACAGCACTGCCATGTCCCAGGCGCAGCCCACAGCAGCCCCTCCTCTGCTCCACCCCCAGCCACGCACCTTTTCATGATGTGCTTGCCCACCTCTGTGGAGCCTGTGAACCCGATTTTCCTCACATCAGGATGGTCTGAGAGTCTCTGGCCGACCAGGGAGCCTGTGGGCGGGAGGGAGGGGGGAATCAGAGTGGTCCCCCTGGTGCTGGGGAGGCAGGAGCCCACCTCCAGGACTGCACAGGTTCACTGGGGGTCTGAGGCCCTCAAAATGCTCCCCACATGCTTGATCCCCATGGTGCCTGGGGCTCATGGAGCCTCGCTCCCTATTAGGGGCTGAACTGTGTCCCCTAAAATTCAAATGCTGAAACCCTCATCCCCTGTACCTCTGAATGGGACTGTGTTTGGAGATGTGGCCTTTACATAGGTGATTAAGGCAAAATGAGGTCATTGAGATGGACCCTAATCCAATCTGACTGGTGTCCTTCTAAGAAGAGGAGATTTGGGCAATGACCATGCGAGGACATAGAGGGTGGAGAGCCGTCTGCAAGCCCAGGAGAGAGGCTGCAGGAGAAGCTGACGCTGCTGACACCCTGATCTTGGACTTCCAGCCTCCAGAACTGAGAGATGATAACCATCTGTTTCTGAAGCCCCAGTCTGCGGAGCTTTGACATGGTAGCCCAAGCAAATCAACCCACTCCCCACATGGCTTTTCACCATCAGGCAGACCCCAAGGTGAGGGCACCAAACCTTCAGCTCTTGCAGGGGCTCGAACAGAGACCCAAGGATGCCTGATCAGGTCCCCGAGGATGTGGCATCCTAAGCATCATAGACTCCAAAACACCCGCCCTCAGGTGAGCCAGCCACAGAGGCCTTGCCACCTGCTGTTCCTCCCAGGGAATGCCGTGATTCCTGCCCCGTCCCACGCCCCCAGCCCCTACTCCGAGCCACGCCCTGCACAAACCCTGTCCCCAACCTGGCTAAGTCCTCTCTGTCCCTCAGGTCTCCATCTCAACGAGACTTCAGAGTGGGCTCCCTGACGCTGCCTCCTCCCAGACTCAGCGTAGCTCCCCACTTAAGCCATTATCTTGTTTTGGCTTCTGACTCTGCACCCTCCTAATTCGACTCTTACTTCTCTGACGGCTCTTTTTCCATCTCCTTTCTCACCTAACCTTAAAATACCCAGCACCTCTGGCTCTGTACCAGGCCCTCTTCTCTCCTCAGCTTACATTGCGTGCTCAGCTGATCTCACAGGCTTCCAAGGGCCATCTTCAGGTATGTCACCCCCCAACCAAATCGGCCTCTCCAGCCAAACTCCTCTGGGATTCAGATCCATTGGTCACTCCTCTGCCTGCTTGGCATCTGCACTTGGATGTCTTCTGGCTTCTCAAATTCAACATATTTGAAACTGAACTCTTAATCGTTCACCTAGACCTGCTCTTCCTCCAGGGTTCTCCATTTCAGTAAACAACTTCTCCTGGCAGCCATTTGGTTCAATCCAAGAACCCAAGAGTCATTCTTGACACCTCCCTTTTCCATCCCATGACTCGCTCAGTCCAGAGCTCCTGCACCTATCCAGTCCCTCCATCTTCCACCACTCCCCTGCCTCCAGGCTTGTAAAATTCACATGCCCAGGCACGCCCATGAAGGTTCCAGTTTGGCAGGTTTGGAATAAGACCCTTGTATCCTCCCTCTATATACAGTTAAAGCTCTACCAGTGATTTTGATACTAACTCCATTCCACCACTCCCCATTAAATCACTGTTTTGGGGAGAAAACGTTTGCAAAAGATATATCTGACAAAGAACAGGTGTCCAAAATATACAAAGAACTCTCAAAACTCAACAATAAGAAAACAAACAACCACTAAAAACTGGGCAAAAGACAGAAATAGACACATCACCAAAGAAGACAGACAGATGGCAAGTAAGCACCTGAAACAGTGCGCAATGTCATTTGTCATTAGAGAATAAAAGACTAAAACAGCAATGAGATACCACTGCACAGCTACTAAACAACAAAAATCCACAACACTGATGATGCCAGATGCTGGGATGGATGTGGAGCAACAGGAACTCTCAGTCATTGCTGCGGGAACGCAAAATGGCACAGCCAGTCGGGAAGACAGTTTAGCAGTCAGTTTAAAAACCAAATGCACTGTTACCATATGATCCAGCAACTGTGCTCCTTGATATTTACCCGAAGGAGTTGAAAACTTACGTCCACACCAAAACCTGCACACGAATGTTTACGGCAGCTTTACTCAGAATTGCCAAAACTTGGAAGTTACCAAGACGTCCTTCAGAAAGTGGATGGATAAGTAACTGATGTGAATCAGACAAGGGAAATTATTCAGTGCTAACAAGAAATGAGCTATTAAGTCACAAGAAGCCATGGAAGAACCTCAAATACATATCACTAAGTGAAAGAAGCCAAATGAAAAGCCCGCATATGATTGCAATTACATGACATTCTGGAAAAGGCATAACGATGGAGACAAGAAAAAGATCACTGGTTGCCAGGGATTAGACAGAGGAAGAGATAAAAGGTATAGCACAGCAGTGAAACTACTCTGTGTTACACTCTAATGGTAGATGCAAGGGATTACACAGTTGTCAAAACCCATGGAATGTACAACCCAAGAGTGACCCCTAAACTACGGACTTCGGGGGATAATGAGGTGTCAATGTAGGTCATTGTTTGTAACAAACATACTCCTCTGGTGCTGGATATTAGTAGTGGAGGGCTGTGTCTGTGTGGGGGCAGGTGGTGTATAGGGACTCTGTACTTTCTGCTCAATTTTGCTATCAACCTAAAACTGCTCTAAAATCAAGTCTATTTACTAGTAATAATAATAATAGTAATAAAAATAACAACACTCTCTTAGGCTATTTAAGAAATATTTGCAAAAAGGTATCATATATCAGACCACGAAAATTCTCCATTTTAGAAAACAAAATTTTTACAAGCTGTTATGTGTTGGACTGTGCCTCCCCCAACCACTCACTAGAAATTCATAGGTCACCATCCTAACCCCCAGTACCTCACAATGTGGCCTTATTTGGGGATGAAGTCAGTACAGGTAAAATTAGTTAAGATGAGGTCACTGGGGTGGGCCCTGATCCAAAATGACCAGTGTTCTTATAAAAATGGGAGATTTGGGCACAGACACCACATCTTCAGGGAAATGCCGTGTCAAGATGAAAGCACAGATCGGGATGATGCTTCTACAAGCTAGGAGGAGGCAAAGAATTAGTCTTCCCTAGAACCTTTTAGACGGAGCATGGCCCTGCTAACACCTTCCATCCAGACTCGTAGCCTCCAGAGCTGCGCGGCGCTGCCTTGCAGTGGTTTATGCCACTCGGTTTGCAGTGCTTGGTGACAGCAGCCCTGGCAAACTCACATACAGGCCATAGTCTCTGATCATGACATAATACAATTAGAAATATAAGAACGGAATTTTAAATTTTAGACAAAAAAACAACTTGGCAATTGTTTTTAAATCTCTTTTTACTTACTGGGTTAGAGAGAAGACCAAAACTACAACTATATGATATTTAAGAGTAATAAAAACATGAACACAACCTGCTCAAAAGGCATGAGGCAGGAGTGCATTTCTGGAAGGCCAGCTTGAGGAGCCCTGCGGACAATTCCCCAGGGAAACCACTATCCTGGTGAAGATGATCTAAAAACAACCACTTAAACTCCCTGGAAATTCTTCTAAGGGCATACGACAAATGGAGAAACATTCTTCAAGAAAATCTGACTCTCAGTAAGAGCAGGGAATATCTGTAGCACTGAAGGCACAGTCTGCTCCCTCCCCTTGAGGGAAGCTCCACTCCAGGCAGGTGTGGCCAGGAAGGCAGCGCTTCTTTCCTTCTCAGCTCCCAGCGAAGGAAGCTGGCATCCACCAGGAGGTGCAGGCCACCAAGCCCTCTCATTTCTGCCAACTCTCAGTTGCAGAAGCTAAGTTCTTGGTGACTATGGCTAAGATGCTGGGGCCCTTTCCTCCACCCAGACCGCACTCATAAGGGGAAGACTCTACCTCAGGTGTGCCAGATGGAGAAGACAGTACATGACTGTATTCAAACTGCAAGGCAGAACAAGTGCAAAGAAAGAACAAGAGTGTCAACCCAGAATCTTACATCTAGCAATACTGTGTTTCAAAAAGCAGAGGCAAATAAGGATATTGCCAGATAAACAAAAACAGATCATCTGTTGTTAGCAGACCCACCTTACAGGAAATACTAAAAGAAGTTCTTCAAGCTGAAGGCAAGTGACTACAGACAGTAGTCAGAATCCACAGGAAAAAGCAAGGAGCACTGTAAAGGTAATTAGGTAATTATAAAATACAGTATCAATGCATATTTTATTTGCTTTCTTAACTGATTTAAAAAGCGATTGTGTAAAATGATTATATACATAATTGTATAATTGTGGGGTAACAAATAGAAATCTAACATATTGGACAATAAAAGCAGAAAGGAGGTAGGTGGGAATAAAACTTAAATGGAGTAAGGAAATGACACCAGATAGTAGCTCAAATCCATAGGACCAGCTGAAGAGGACCAGAACTTGTGAGTCAGATAACATATAAACTCTGCACATAGGGACTTGTTCTCCTTTCTTTTCTCAACTTCTTTAGTAGGTGTAAAATTAAGTAATATATATAGCAATATATTATTGGGTTTGTAACATATATAGATGTTATATGTGTACAAAAATACATGATCCTAGCACAAACAGGGAGAAGATAACAGACCTATCCAGAAGTAACATTTGTACATTTCACTGGGATTAAGTTCGTATAAATCTGAAGTTGATTTTGATAAGTATATGATAAGTCTTAGAGTAACCACTAAGAAAATAACTAAAAATGTATACTGAAAATAATTATTGAAAGCATTAAAATGTTATGCTAGGAAATATTTGCTTAATGCAAAAGAAAGTAGTACAGCAGGAGAAACAGAGGGAAAAAAGACAGGAGATTCATAGAAAATGAAAAGTAAAATGGTAAACCCACTGTATCAATATTTAATGTAAAGTCTCCAGTCAAAAGGCAGAGATTATGAGACTGGATAAAAAACAAGATCTGACTATATGTTATATATGGAGGCACATTTTAGATTCAAAAGTATGAATGGGTTGAAAGTAAAAAAATGTAAAAATATATATCATGTCAACAGCAACCATTTGAAAGCCAGTGTAGTAATACTAAGACAGAATTGACTTTAACACAAAAACGATCATGAAAGATAAACAGGGGCATTTATAATGAATGATAAAAGTGTCAGTCACAAGGTGTGAGGTATCACCAAAACTCTTTTTTTTTTTTTTTTTTGAGACAGAGTCTCGCTCTGTTACCCAGGCTGAAGTGCAGTGGCACAATCTCGGATCACTGCAAACTCCACCTCCCAGGTTCAGGCGATTCTTCTGCCTCAGCCTCCAGAGTAGCTGGGGTTACAAGCGCCTGCCACCATGCCCAGCTAATTTTTGTATTTTTAATAGAGACGGGGTTTCACCATGTTGGCCAGGCTGGTCTTGAATTCCTGACCTCAGGTGATCCACTCACCTCGGCCTCCCAAAGTGCTGGGATTACAGGTGTGAGCCACTGCGCCTGGCCATCACCAAAACTTTTTCAAATGCTTTCCTTATTTGAACTAGAAAAAAACTGAACTAAATTTTCAACCCAAAAAGCTGCAAAAAAAAAAAAAATAGAAGAACCACTCAGGAGAACACACAAGGGAATAATAAAAGCAAGGGGGAAACTATAAAAATAGCCATGGAAAAGGTAAGGAAATCCAGGAGCTGTATTTGATTTTTTTAGAGTGGAGGATGGAGACAAACAAGCAATAACTTTTCACCAATTTAATCAACTTAAAAAGAGAGAGAAAAAGGAAAAATATAAAGAATGTATTACAACAATCAAAAGGAAAATCCAAAAAGGAGATAAAAATTATGAGATTATTATATACAACTTCATGCTAATACATTTGAAATCTGCACAAGAAGAGACTTTTCCATAAACTAGACAACTAAACACAACAAAAACTTAAAAAGTGATTCATGTATGACCTCCCTAAATGCTTTAAGCCTGAAATGTTCTAAAGAAAAATTCTCTCAAACTTCCAAGGGCAGAAAATCCCCAAGTAACAAGTTTATTCCAGGGCGCGCGGACACACACACACACACACACACACACACACACACACACTGGAATACATTCAGCTGGGGCATCTGAAGACGAAAGCCCTTCCAGGTGCAGGTGCTCTCCCCCATGGGAGGGGCCTCCTTTGTCACAGGCTGGCCCCCGCCTGGGCTCTCCCCAGGCTACTCTGCCCTCACGCCACTATCCAGTAGGGCCTGCTCTGCCCAATGGCATCTCCAGCTGCCAGAAGCCCTAGCCCTGCCCCCGACAATGGCTCTTACCAGATCCTGGGAGGACGTTAACCACACCTTTGGGAATGCCGGCCTTTAATGTCAGCTCTGCAAACTTCAAGGCTGTGAGTGGGGTCACCTGGGTGTGGGGCCAGGAAAGGAGACTGGGTAAGGAGGTTTTTGAAAGTGGGGCTCTGCCTTCCCTCCCCGCCTTCCTCTCCCAGCAGCCCAGCAGCAAGCTGGGAGAGTAGCTGCAGATTGTGGCACCAGGAAGACCCCAGGAAAGCCACCAGAGGGGGCCCTGCCTGCCCAGCCGGTGCGCCCACAGCACCAGCTGGGAATCAGGGTGGGCCAACATCTGGTGCCCTAGCTTCTCCTCCTGGCAGGGCTCCAGCCGGCCAGGCCTGGGTTCCCTTCTGCACAGCATAAGTTTCTAAAGCCAGAGGTTAAGGTCTCCTCAGAGGGTTGTGTGTGATGCTTAAATAAGCAAATGTATGTAAATTACTACCTAATTTGTGATACATGTTGAAATGCTTGAGGCATGCCTGACTCAGGGTAAATACTATCAATGTCAGCCATCATTATTGTTTTTCATTACATCAATGCCCTTGCCGCGAAATTACCCCAAAGAAGCTGGCGAGTGGGTGCCCTCCTGGGCACACCATCCCTGCCATGTCATGCACCATCCTGGGAGGCAGGCAGCGGGCAGGCTGTCATTGCCAATGTACAGATGGAGAAACTGAGGCTCACTGGGTATGTCCTCACTCCCAAGGACCTTCCCAGCATGCCTGGGTGACCCCTGACATCCCGCCTCTACTCCCCCACCTACACCTCTCAGACACCACACTGCGTAGCTTCTGTGTGCAGGGATGGGGACCACGAATCCCACCGCTCACCCTGCTTCTCTCCAGGACTTCTGGTCTCGGAAGCCACATAAGGGACATGGCACCAGCTTTATGGATAGACTACTCAGGCTGTCTTAGAGCATGGGGCCTGGTTTCTGCCCCATGAATCCAGAGTGCAGAAATCCCTGCCTCTGCTCACCCGAGCAGCTGCAAGTTCCAGCACAGCCAGATGGCCTCAAGCAGCCATGGCTGAAAAAGAGTCTGCTTTGGAGAGCTCTGCCTGCCACATACGCCTCTGCCCACTGAGAGTGGGGCCCATGGAGGGCAGCTGGCATTAGCAGGACCCTTCTTCCAGTGCCCGTGTGGCCAAGAGAGGCCCTTCCCTTCCTCCCTTATAGAGTGAGTTCCTGATCCTCTCTGTGGCCTGCAGGCCCTGTCCAGAGTGAACCCACGCTCACCTGAGCAGGCTTGATCACCACTGTGTTCCCGGCAGCCAGGCAGGCAGCTGTCTTCCAGGACAGCATCATCAGGGGATAGTTCCAGGGGATGATGATGCCACAAACCCTGCCACACAAAAGAGGTTGGCCTTTGTCCTTCTTCTCCACCAGGCCCACAGTGGACCTGCCAATTCCCTCCACCTCACCCAGGGCCTGACATCCACTCTCAAAGCCAGGCTTCCTGATAAGGCACCCAAGGTCCCTCTGAGAGGCAGCTCACGCCTGCTGTTTCTGTCCTGGATGCTACAGTAAGAATTGGTCTGGCAGCAGCCCCTCTTCCTAGCAGGGCAGGATGGCATGGGATACTGGACCATTTCTGATGGAAGCTGTGGAACTGTCTGGGGCACAGGCAATGAGAGAGGGTGATGGCAGGCAGGCACAGGTGAGGACACAGGCCAGGGTCAGCTAAAGAGGGTCAGGGGTCACCAGGGGTGGGTCAGGAGGGCCTGGAGAGGGTCCTCCAGAGTGTGAGGCCAGGTGTCAATCCTCAAGAAGAGAAGACAGAGTCAGCAAGGCAGCACTGATGAAGTCAGGGTGCTCTGTGTGAAGCCATGGTGCCCAGTGTCAGTGCCACCCTGGGTTCTAGAGCGAGCCTCTGGCCAGGCACAGGTGCCTCATACTCAGAGCACCGTGGGCACTGGGGAGGCCGCAGAGTCCCAGGGACCAGCAGGCACACTGGCCGGGTATGAATCCTGTGTGGCCCTGCCTTCCCCCCATACAGCACCACTTTGGTTGAGCGCTGGACAGTCAGATGAGGACATCCACACAGAGCCCCGTAGACCACGCACAGGCTCCTGTCGCCACCCCACCACCATCACTGGGTGTTTCCCCAAAAGAAAGCTGCTTAGCCAGACACAGGCGGTGGGCAGGACCCGTGTGAGGCATCAGGGGGGAGCAGCAGGGAGCACTGAGATAGGGGAGCTGCCCCACACCCCACACACACCCAGGAGATTGGGAGCACAGCACGGGCTGCTGAGTGTTCCCAGGGAGCAGGTGAAGCCGTCGGTTACAGTGAACGGGGCTGAGGGGAGCTCGGAAAAGAAAACACATCAGAAAAGCCCCACAATTATGTGCTGAATTGTGCCCCCACTCCCCAATTCGTATGCTGAAGCCCTAATCTCCAGAGTCTAATGGCATGCCCTTGCTTGGAGACCAGATTGCTGTGTTGTAATTAATTAGGATGTGGTAGCACTGGGGTGGGCGGGCCCCTAATTTAGGAGGAATGCTGTCCTCATACAAAGAACACCACATGGAGAGACAGACTCACAGTGGGAATGCCAAGAGGGCATGAGGCAGAGACGGGGTCTCCCTGCAAGCCAAGGAAGGCCAGAGGTCACCAGCAGCCACCAGATGCCAGAAGAGAGGTCAGGACAGACCCTCACAGCCCTCATGTGGAAACAGCTCTGCCCACATCTGACCTCAGATTTCCAGCTCCCAGAACCAGGAGACGAGTTTCCATTGATTAGGCCCTGGATTGGTGGTCTCTTCTACAGCAGCCCGAACTGACGCCCACACTCACTGGTTAGGGGAAAGGCCGAGCCCCGGGACTGGAGTGTGCAGAGCTGGCCCTGGCACGGGGTCAAAGGAGCAGGGCTGCAGGACCCAGGCCCAGGTGAATCCTCCCTGCCCAGCTGCTGTGAAAACCGACTTTCATTAGCCTTGCTGCCTCTAATTCCTAGTGGGCTTTCTTAGTGGGAGACTGAGTGGACATCCAGTGAGACAACCACCCCATGGTTCTTAGGCCCGTCCCTCCCTCCCTTGGGGCCATTCTCCTGCTGTGCGGCCCTGAGCCCCCTCCTCTGCCCTCTGACGCTCCTGGGGAGCTGCATGGACGGTGAGGGTGGAGTTCCTTCTCTCTCTCGGGAGCATGGAGCCTGGGCAGGGGACACCAAGCAAGGTTTCTTGGTGTCCCCAAGAAATGCTTGGCTCACTAGGGAGCTCGAGTGGCTGTTGGGCCAGGGTGCGGCTGAAGACATGAGGGGAAGGGGCTCCCCACGAGGCAGCTGCAGCCTCACTGCTGAGGTTGCGGTGGCACTGGCCAGGGGAGGAGATGGGCAGCCCCTTACCCTGGCCAGGCCCTCCTCTGGCACCGCGTGCAGGCACAGTGAGGGTGGACCCGGGGCTGGGGCTCTCTAGCTCTGATCACTCAGTCATTCTGCAGTATTTATGGGACACTGCAGGTGTGCTGGGATGATGACAGGCATGGGCACAGGGCAGCATCAGTCTGAATGCTCACACAGAGAATAAAATGAGATTATAGATTAGAGAGGGCAGGCTGGGAGCAGAGGTCTGGCGGATGCATCACAGATGAGAGCTGGAGGACAGCTGGTGAGGGCTGGAGGTGGGACACAGGTGCAAGTGCTCAGTGGGGCATGAGGGTGGAGGGCCTGGGATCCGTGAGGCCAGCACAGCCAACCACAGTGGACTGGGGAGGGGGCCAGGATACCAGGCCCGGATTGCATGGCCAAGCGAGAAGTTTGATTCCATGTCAAGGGCACTGGGAAGCCACCCGAGGATTCCGAGTGGAGCAGTGACATGGTCTCTAGTAAATTTCCTAACACAAACATCCAAAAGAGCTGGACTCTGCTCCTTCTCAGAACCACATACAGAATTCTCCTCTTAGTCCCATTACCCAGGAGGCCCGGCCCTGCATGGCTCCTTCACCTGGCCCTCCTAACTCCTTCACAGCATGCTGTGCCCTAGACACCTGATGCTCACCCATCCAAACAACTCAGTGAGGACAGGACTGTTTTATTACCATTTGACAGTTGGGGAGACTGAGTACAGACAGGCTGGGAGCTTGCCCTAGAAAGGGGAGGAGCTGGGATTCCAACCTTGGGTTCCGGCTCCAGAACATTCCCACTGAGGCGAGGTCCCCTGTGAAGGTGGGGAGGGGTGAAGCCCAGAGGCCCTGGCGGCCTCCCTGCCAGGCAGAGACCATTAGTTCCAGAATCACGGCCCACCAGGTGCATGGTCAGCAGTGGCCCTGCCTACCTGCCTTTGGGCGAGCCCTGGTCTGTGTGAGCTGCTGGGACCAGGCCCCAGGGCAGGATGTGTTCACACTGGGGTGCTGACCAGGCGCCCAGAGTCCTGGGTCCAAGGCCAGCCTCACAGGGTGACATAGGGATGCTTCTGGGTGACACAGTGTCTGTTTCCTCCTCAGTCTGATGGGGGTGGACACCCCCCAACCCCATGCTGGCAGCTGGGAGGGGTGGGCAGCCTCAAAGACCCAAGTGTGGCTCTGAACTGTGGCCCCAGGTGGGCCACGACCCGCCCTGCCCTGCCCAGCCCAGCCCAGCCCCTTTCAAAGCACGACAAAGGTCTCTGACCACTGCCCCATAGCAGGGTTTCTTGGCTCCCACACTACTGACATTTGGGGCGGGGCAGTTCTTTGTTGTGGGGGGCTGTACTCTATCACCCCCTCTGATGGGACAACCAAAACCATGTGCAGACCTTGCCCGATGTCCTCTGTGGGGACCCTGGAGGCGATGCCTCCACCTGCAGCCTGGCTCCTCTCTGGGGCTCTAAGGGTCCACAGCCCACTTTCCCACAGGAGCCTCCTCCAGCCCGTGCTTGAGGAGTTGGTTGTTCATCTGCATGAGCTGTCAGTGACACAGGGACATTGGAGCACGTTCTCCTTGCAAATACTCCAACATTCAGGTGGAGCTGAGGGGCCTTTGGCCATGCCCACAGCTGTGAGGTCCCCTACCCTGCAAGGGGCACAGAGCAGGTGGGAATGACTGTGGTGCTCATGCCAGCTGGGCCCTGCTCCCAGGTCACCCTGGCCAGGCTCTCCTGTGGCACCGCGTGCAGGCGCAGTGAGGGTGGACCCAGGGCTGGGGCTCTCTAGGTCCAGTTGCAGGCGCATCCTCAGTGCAGATCATGGATCAGGGCTGCACCAGCACCTGCTGCTCTGGTGTTTGCTGTCACCGGCCTAGCACAGTGGCCATGCACTCTTGGGTAAGCCTCCTCAGGCACGCGTGTGAGTAACTCACCAGGACTGGGGCCAAATCAGGATGTATGGCCTCGAGAGGTCACTGCCCAGTTTCCTCTAGCAGGGAAAACCCAGAGCCCGGTGGCTGTGTTCCAAGCCCTTCTCCCTACTCCTGCCCTGGGGCCACTGGGTGGCGAGGTGAGGTGCCTCACGCCAGGTTCATTTCCC